>NC_000010.11:98779458-99082489 GCF_000001405.40 Homo sapiens
CTTTCCACAATTTCACCCCTTTATTCAGGGGATAGCTCAGGCAAATAGTGATACCAGAAAAAGCAGATGTATTTACACACACCATGGGTTCTCCTCTACCCACATAAGCTCTAACAGAGTTATCTTCAGAATTCAAATATTAACATGTATTGTTGGTCATAAATTTTTATTTTAAAATGTTCTTAGATCTTCAGAAGCAAAACTAATAAGGATATTTTAAGAGGACTCTAGCATTCATTCATTAATTTATTCAACATTTATTGAATATCGAGTCATAGCATGCACTGAGGTAAAAGGAATATAAAATGAATAAGACAGTCCCTAATTTCTAAAAGCTCACAAACTAGAAACCAGACCTAATACTGCCAGTGTTTTTGAGAGTAATTATATTCAAGTCCAAACCAATGGAAGTAACTTGGAAGGTTTTTACTAAGAGGCTGACATCAAAGGGTAGGGAATTGCCTGATTTCTAAGAGACTTGCTAGAGAGCCACACATTAGTTACAAGCACGGGGGTCTCTCATAATATATATTTTTTTCTCCTTCAAGCTCAGATTTCTCTGAGAAAAATTTTTAAAAATTCCATGAACTAAAATTGTTTTCTCTATGACAATAAAATGGAGGGAGGAAGAGAGAGGGGAAGGGGAAGAAATGGTATATGTAGGAAGGCAGAATTAGAAAGGAGGTTCTGAGATCTGTTTACAAAGTGCTCAGAAAGCAGGTGATGTCTTCTTTCTGGTAAATTATGGGCAGAAAGTTTAAGAGCTGAGGGAAGCTTGCAAAGTGCTGATATAAAAATGAAACCATAATCAAACACAAAAGACAGAAGATCTCTAATTCTTATAGAAAATTTAGTTTATAGTGTTGGCAATGATTAAATAAATAGCTAAATTTTTATTAGAAGGTATTTCATTTGTACTTAAATGTTTATATTTTCTCCAAACTTGCTCTTTGTTATAACTTTTAAGTCATGTACAAATAATCGTAGTGGGAAAATCACAGATGCATACTTAGAATTGAGTTTGTTATATCAATAAAACATCTTTTAAGGACAATTAAAAATCAATAGCAGTTTTGTTTGAGAACTTTCATTCCAACTACAGCAGGGAAGATGGCCGGGGGACTGAATAGTGGAGATTGAGAAAGAAAGAGAATCTAGGAGATCACTGCAATACCATAGCCACAAAATAGGCTTTTGATTGCTTGGCTAGGGAAGATGAAAAAAATGCAAGATGACTGCAAGTTTTCAATAGGAAGGAAGTTGTGAGTAATAATATAATTGAAATAAATAGATCTTAAAACAGAGCAAAACTTCTGAGAAAATTTCTCAGGACTTGACTCAAATGTCACTTTTTCAGTGAAGTCTTGTGTGGCAGGAAACAAAAATGGAATGATCACTGCACCATTTCCTCTTCCTGGGCAGACAAAAGAACATTTCCTGGATTCCCTTGTAGTTAGGGTGGGAGCATATGACTTAGTTTTGGCCAGTGGGATGTATGTAGGAGTGATGTGCCACTTCCAGGCCAAGAAACTTGCTGAATACTGATCTACCTTTATCTCTTTCTGCCCCTAGAAACAATGTCTCTGTGGCGGCATCACGATATGTAGGAAGCCTGGAATCCTGAGTCACTAGATGACACGATGAGCCACCTATATCAGACTTATTCTGAACAAAAGCTAAACTTTTGTTGGGCTAAACCACTAACATCTAGATTTAGTGCTACAGCATAGCATAGCTTATTTTTATTAATACATCTTGCTTGGCTACCATACCCAAAATTTCCACAAGCCTCTGCCCCTATGAAAGAAAAACACCCATATATCCACTTCTTTTTTTTTTTTTTTTTTTATTTTTAAATTTGGTATTGGAGTAAGATAGGCTTTCCTAAGCACAAATGAAAAAGAACTGAACACTGAAAAATATTTGACTTTATGACAGTTTAAATTTATACATTAAATAAACAGTGGCAAAATTACAAAACAAATAAACTGAAAATAAATGTTTAAAACTTATATGAGTAATGGATATCATATCGTTAACATAAACGAAGTGCTAACCAGAAAGACGTACACCTAAATAGAAAAATTGGCAAAAGACGTAAGCAAGTAATTTATAAAAGAAAAAATATAAAAATCCCAAGAAACATATAAAAATACATATTTCAACTTTACTTGTAATCAAAGAAATATAAATTAAAACATTTTCTCCACCAAATTGGCAGAATAATTTAATATCCAATATTAATGAGGAAGAGAATGAACAATCAGCTTTTAGTCTGCTGGTGGGAATGTAACCCAGCATCTACCTGAAGGGCAACTTGGCAATGTATATCCAAATCTTGAAAAATTTATATCGTTGGATCTAGTCATTTCACTTCTAGAAATTTATCCAAAAGAACTAATTAGAGATGTGTACAAAGATTTATATATATGGATGTTTTTTGTTGAAATATTTACATTTTCAAATTGGATTAATCTAAGTAACCCAAAATAGAACATTGGCTAAAATAATTTATGGTACATTAATATGATGAAATACTATGCAGAAATTTTTTAAAAAGTATTTTAAGAAACATTTAGCTATGTGAGAAAATGTTGATTAATGTGAAGTAGAAGTACATAATGAAACATTACATAAAATGTAACCTTAATTTTATAAGAAGATACTATTTATAACACTTATATGTACATATATTTACATTATATATGGAAGACTAAAAAAACCCAAAATCTTGTATATATGTATATATTTATCAATCATATATTATACATTTAACAATAAAATCTAAAAGAAATTTAAAATAAAATACACCCAAGTGTTAGACATTATTATAGTTGGGAATTAATTTAATTTTTTTCCTGAAAACCAAAAACTATAAAACGTTGCTGAGGGCATTTAATGAAGACTGGAATAAATGGAAAGATATATGATGTTGATGGGTTGGAAGATTCAATATGGTAAAAATAGCAATTCCCCCCAAATTGATTTTTAGATTCAATAAAATCCCAATCAATTTCCCAGCATGTTTGTGTGTGCATGTTTGTGTATGTGGAAGGAGAGAAGACAATTGGTGTAAAATTTATACAGAAGTGCAAACATCCAAGAATATTCAAGACTGTGTTAGAGAAGAAATGAAGTTGAAGATTTTACATAAGTAGATGTCAAGACCTATTATAAAGCTATAATAATTAAGCCAATGTAATGTTGATGAGAGGAGAGACATATTGGCCAGTGGAATAGACTAGAGTCCAGAAACAGATCCACACATATTTAGTCAGCTAGGGCCACTGGTAGGGTATGTAGGACCCTGGGAAAATATGTTCTGTAGGGCTCCTGACTATATAAATATTTGATTAAAATGTATTACAAAATGTATGGGCCCAAATGAGACTTAAGAATTTTTGATGAAGAGTTAGAATAATGGGTTGAGTGGGTCTACTTCCCTGTTTGTTTATTTTTTTTTTTTTATTTTTTTTTTTAATGTTTTTTTTTTTATTATACTCTAAGTTTTAGGGAACATGTGCACATTGTGCAGGTTAGTTACATATGTATACATGTGCCATGCTGGTGCGCTGCACCCACTAACGTGTCATCTAGCATTAGGTATATCTCCCAATGCTATCCCTCCCCCCTCCCCCGACCCCACCACAGTCCCCAGAGTGTGATATTCCCCTTCCTGTGTCCATGTGATCTCATTGTTCAATTCCCACCTATGAGTGAGAATATGCGGTGTTTGGTTTTTTGTTCTTGCGATAGTTTACTGAGAATGATGGTTTCCAATTTCATCCATGTCCCTACAAAGGACGTGAACTCATCATTTTTTATGGCTGCATAGTATTCCATGGTGTATATGTGCCACATTTTCTTAATCCAGTCTATCATTGTTGGACATTTGGGTTGGTTCCAAGTCTTTGCTATTGTGAATAGTGCCGCAATAAACATACGTGTGCATGTGTCTTTATAGCAGCATGATTTATAGTCCTTTGGGTATATACCCAGTAATGGGATGGCTGGGTCAAATGGTATTTCTAGTTCTAGATCCCTGAGGAATCGCCACACTGACTTCCACAATGGTTGAACTAGTTGACAGTCCCACCAACAGTGTAAAAGTGTTCCTATTTCTCCACATCCTCTCCAGCACCTGTTGTTTCCTGACTTTTTAATGATTGCCATTCTAACTGGTGTGAGATGATATCTCATAGTGGTTTTGATTTGCATTTCTCTGATGGCCAGTGATGGTGAGCATTTCTTCATGTGTTTTTTGGCTGCATAAATGTCTTCTTTTGAGAAGTGTCTGTTCATGTCCTTCGCCCACTTTTTGATGGGGTTGTTTGTTTTTTTCTTGTAAATTTGTTTGAGTTCATTGTAGATTCTGGATATTAGCCCTTTGTCAGATGAGTAGGTTGCGAAAATTTTCTCCCATGTTGTAGGTTGCCTGTTCACTCTGATGGTAGTTTCTTTTGCTGTGCAGAAGCTCTTTAGTTTAATTAGATCCCATTTGTCAATTTTGGCTTTTGTTGCCATTGCTTTTGGTGTTTTGGACATGAAGTCCTTGCCCACGCCTATGTCCTGAATGGTAATGCCTAGGTTTTCTTCTAGGGTTTTTATGGTTTTAGGTCTAACGTTTAAATCTTTAATCCATCTTGAATTGATTTTTGTATAAGGTGTAAGGAAGGGATCCAGTTTCAGCTTTCTACATATGGCTAGCCAGTTTTCCCAGCACCATTTGTTAAATAGGGAATCCTTTCCCCATTGCTTGTTTTTCTCAGGTTTGTCAAAGATCAGATAGTTGTAGATATGCGGCATTATTTCTGAGGGCTCTGTTCTGTTCCATTGATCTATATCTCTGTTTTGGTACCAGTACCATGCTGTTTTGGTTACTGTAGCCTTGTAGTATAGTTTGAAGTCAGGTAGTGTGATGCCTCCAGCTTTGTTCTTTTGGCTTAGGATTGACTTGGCGATGCGGGCTCTTTTTTGGTTCCATATGAACTTTAAAGTAGTTTTTTCCAATTCTGTGAAGAAAGTCATTGGTAGCTTGATGGGGATGGCATTGAATCTGTAAATTACCTTGGGCAGTATGGCCATTTTCACGATATTGATTCTTCCTACCCATGAGCATGGAATGTTCTTCCATTTGTTTGTGTCCTCTTTTATTTCCTTGAGCAGTGGTTTGTAGTTCTCCTTGAAGAGGTCCTTCACATCCCTTGTAAGTTGGATTCCTAGGTATTTTATTCTCTTTGAAGCAATTGTGAATGGGAGTTCACTCATGATTTGGCTCTCTGTTTGTCTGTTGTTGGTGTATAAGAATGCTTGTGATTTTTGTACATTGATTTTGTATCCTGAGACTTTGCTGAAGTTGCTTATCAGCTTAAGGAGATTTTGGGCTGAGACAATGGGGTTTTCTAGATAAACAATCATGTCGTCTGCAAACAGGGACAATTTGACTTCCTCTTTTCCTAATTGAATACCCTTTATTTCCTTCTCCTGCCTGATTGCCCTGGCCAGAACTTCCAACACTATGTTGAATAGGAGTGGTGAGAGAGGGCATCCCTGTCTTGTGCCAGTTTTCAAAGGGAATGCTTCCAGTTTTTGCCCATTCAGTATGATATTGGCTGTGGGTTTGTCATAGATAGCTCTTATTATTTTGAAATACATCCCATCAATACCTAATTTATTGAGAGTTTTTAGCATGAAGGGTTGTTGAATTTTGTCAAAGGCCTTTTCTGCATCTATTGAGATAATCATGTGGTTTTTGTCTTTGGCTCTGTTTATATGCTGGATTACATTTATTGATTTGCGTATATTGAACCAGCCTTGCATCCCAGGGATGAAGCCCACTTGATCATGGTGGATAAGCTTTTTGATGTGCTGCTGGATTTGTTTTGCCAGTATTTTATTGAGGATTTTTGCATCAATGTTCATCAAGGATATTGGTCTAAAATTCTCTTTTTTGGTTGTGTCTCTGCCCGGCTTTGGTATCAGAATGATGCTGGCCTCATAAAATGAGTTAGGGAGGATTCCCTCTTTTTCTATTGATTGGAATAGTTTCAGAAGGAATGGTACCAGTTCCTCCTTGTACCTCTGGTAGAATTCGGCTGTGAATCCATCTGGTCCTGGACTCTTTTTGGTTGGTAAACTATTGATTATTGCCACAATTTCAGAGCCTGTTATTGGTCTATTCAGAGAGTCAACTTCTTCCTGGTTTAGTCTTAGGAGAGTGTATGTGTCGAGGAATGTATCCATTTCTTCTAGATTTTCTAGTTTATTTGCATAGAGGTGTTTGTAGTATTCTCTGATGGTAGTTTGTATTTCTGTGGGATCGGTGGTGATATCCCCTTTATCATTTTTTATTGTGTCTATTTGACTCTTCTCTCTTTTTTTCTTTATTAGTCTTGCTAGCGGTCTATCAATTTTGTTGATCCTTTCAAAAAACCAGCTCCTGGATTCATTGATTTTTTGAAGGGTTTTTTGTGTCTCTATTTCCTTCAGTTCTGCTCTGATTTTAGTTATTTCTTGCCTTCTGCTAGCTTTTGAATGTGTTTGCTCTTGCTTTTCTAGTTCTTTTAATTGTGATGTTAGGGTGTCAATTTTGGATCTTTCCTGCTTTCTCTTGTGGGCATTTAGTGCTATAAATTTCCCTCTACACACTGCTTTGAATGCGTCCCAGAGATTCTGGTATGTGGTGTCTTTGTTCTCGTTGGTTTCAAAGAACATCTTTATTTCTGCCTTCATTTCGTTATGTACCCAGTAGTCATTCAGGAGCAGGTTGTTCAGTTTCCATGTAGTTGAGCGGCTTTGAGTGAGATTCTTAATCCTGAGTTCTAGTTTGATTGCACTGTGGTCTGAGAGATAGTTTGTTATAATTTCTGTTCTTTTACATTTGCTGAGGAGAGCTTTACTTCCAACTATGTGGTCAATTTTGGAATAGGTGTGGTGTGGTGCTGAAAAAAATGTATATTCTGTTGATTTGGGGTGGAGAGCTCTGTAGATGTCTATTAGGTCTGCTTGGTGCAGAGCTGAGTTCAATTCCTGGGTATCCTTGTTGACTTTCTGTCTCATTGATCTGTCTAATGTTGACAGTGGGGTGTTAAAGTCTCCCATTATTAATGTGTGGGAGTCTAAGTCTCTTTGTAGGTCACTCAGGACTTGCTTTATGAATCTGGGTGCTCCTGTATTGGGTGCATAAATATTTAGGATAGTTAGCTCCTCTTGTTGAATTGATCCCTTTACCATTATGTAATGGCCTTCTTTGTCTCTTTTGATCTTTGTTGGTTTAAAGTCTGTTTTATCAGAGACTAGGATTGCAACCCCTGCCTTTTTTTGTTTTCCATTTGCTTGGTAGATCTTCCTCCATCCTTTTATTTTGAGCCTATGTGTGTCTCTGCACGTGAGATGGGTTTCCTGAATACAGCACACTGATGGGTCTTGACTCTTTATCCAACTTGCCAGTCTGTGTCTTTTAATTGCAGAATTTAGTCCATTTATATTTAAAGTTAATATTGTTATGTGTGAATTTGATCCTGTCATTATGATGTTAGCTGGTGATTTTGCTCATTAGTTGATGCAGTTTCTTCCTAGTCTCGATGGTCTTTACATTTTGGCATGATTTTGCAGCGGCTGGTACCGGTTGTTCCTTTCCATGTTTAGCGCTTCCTTCAGGAGCTCTTTTAGGGCAGGCCTGGTGGTGACAAAATCTCTCAGCATTTGCTTGTCTATAAAGTATTTTATTTCTCCTTCACTTATGAAGCTTAGTTTGGCTGGATATGAAATTCTGGGTTGAAAATTCTTTTCTTTAAGAATGTTGAATATTGGCCCCCACTCTCTTCTGGCTTGTAGGGTTTCTGCCGAGAGATCCGCTGTTAGTCTGATGGGCTTTCCTTTGAGGGTAACCCGACCTTTCTCTCTGGCTGCCCTTAACATTTTTTCCTTCATTTCAACTTTGGTGAATCTGACAATTATGTGTCTTGGAGTTGCTCTTCTCGAGGAGTATCTTTGTGGCGTTCTCTGTATTTCCTGAATCTGAACGTTGGCCTGCCTTGCTAGATTGGGGAAGTTCTCCTGGATAATATCCTGCAGAGTGTTTTCCAACTTGGTTCCATTCTCCACATCACTTTCAGGTACACCAATCAGACGTAGATTTGGTCTTTTCACATAGTCCCATATTTCTTGGAGGCTTTGCTCATTTCTTTTTATTCTTTTTTCTCTAAACTTCCCTTCTCGCTTCATTTCATTCATTTCATCTTCCATTGCTGATACCCTTTCTTCCAGTTGATCGCATCGGCTCCTGAGGCTTCTGCATTCTTCACGTAGTTCTCGAGCCTTGGTTTTCAGCTCCATCAGCTCCTTTAAGCACTTCTCTGTATTGGTTATTCTAGTTATACATTCTTCTAAATTTTTTTCAAAGTTTTCAACTTCTTTGCCTTTGGTTTGAATGTCCTCCCGTAGCTCAGAGTAATTTGATCGTCTGAAGCCTTCTTCTCTCAGCTCGTCAAAATCATTCTCCATCCAGCTTTGTTCTGTTGCTGGTGAGGAACTGCGTTCCTTTGGAGGAGGAGAGGCGCTCTGCGTTTTAGAGTTTCCAGTTTTTCTGTTCTGTTTTTTCCCCATCTTTGTGGTTTTATCTACTTTTGGTCTTTGATGGTGGTGATGTACAGATGGGTTTTCGGTGTAGATGTCCTTTCTGGTTGTTAGTTTTCCTTCTAACAGACAGGACCCTCAGCTGCAGGTCTGTTGGAATACCCTGCCGTGTGAGGTGTCAGTGTGCCCCTGCTGGGGGGTGCCTCCCAGTTAGGCTGCTCGGGGGTCAGGGGTCAGGGACCCACTTGAGGAGGCAGTCTGCCCGTTCTCAGACCTCCAGCTGCGTGCTGGGAGAACCACTGCTCTCTTCAAAGCTGTCAGACAGGGACACTTAAGTCTGCAGAGGTTACTGCTGTCTTTTTGTTTGTCTGTGCCCTGCCCCCAGAGATGGAGCCTACAGAGGCAGGCAGGCCTCCTTGAGCTGTGGTGGGCTCCACCCAGTTCGAGCTTCCCGGCTGCTTTGTTTACGTAAGCAAGCCTGGGCAATGGCAGGCGCCCCTCCCCCAGCCTCGTTGCCGCCTTGCAGTTTGATCTCAGACTGCTGTGCTAGCAATTAGCGAGATTCCGTGGGCGTAGGACCCTCTGAGCCAGGTGTGGGATATCGTCTCGTGGTGCGCTGTTTCTTAAGCCGGTCTGAAAAGCGCAATATTTGGGTGGGAGTGACCCGATTTTCCAGGTGCGTCCGTCACCCCTTTCTTTGACTCGGAAAGGGAACTCCCTGACCCCTTGCGCTTCCCAGGTGAGGCAATGCCTCGCCCTGCTTCGGCTCGAGCACGGTGCGCACACACACTGGCCTGCACCCACTGTCTGGCACTCCCTAGTGAGGTGAACCCGGTACCTCAGATGGAAATGCAGAAATCACCCGTCTTCTGCGTCGCTCACGCTGGGAGCTGTAGACCGGAGCTGTTCCTATTCGGCCATCTTGGCTCCTCCTCCTATATCCACTTCTTATCCTTCTCACTTTTTTTTTCTTTTTAGCACTTGTCACTCTATAACTTACAGTAAATTTTACCTATTTATGTTATTATCTCTCTTCCCCAGTAGAATGTAAGCTCCATGAGGACAGAAATTTGTATCTGTTTGGTTTGTTACAGCCCGGTGATACAGGGCTTGGAACATGGCAGACATTCAATAGATATTTGTTGGATAAATGAATATAAAGATGGTAACTTTAGCTGTGTGTAAAAAATGGTCAGACCTTAAGTGGAGAAGTACTACGGGGAACTGTGAATGCTAGTATGAGAGATCCAGAGACACATGCTTGGGACACATTAACATAGTTGGAACAGTCGTAGTTGAAATCATAAGAATGAGTTCCTTGAGAGGATGAATGTTGCAGGATGGGTTTTTCAAGAGCAAATCCTGAGTAAGAGTCTGGGTGTTTATTAAGGATCGACAACTTTGAAAGGAAGCAGACTGGTTAGAGAAAGAAGTCAAATTGCAATGCAGGCTGGAAATACCTCAGCCAAACTGGTAGAAAACTGTGAAGTAAATGCTGCCTGTCAGAGTTGTCCTGAAATAGACCCAAATAGTTGGACCTTTATAGCCCCATCTCATTCAGTCACTGATGTGGGCTGTCTTGAGTAGGGCTGACCTTGGATGAGGCTACTCTCTGCAGATAAGGCAGATCCTAAAGGAGATGACAGCCGGAAGCTGTCTATTGACCTCATTTCTTATAGCTGGATGGCAAGTACTTTTTTTAAGGGAAATATGAGCAGTATATCTCCATATCTACCACAAATGGGGAAAAGAAGGCTAATGGCTAGAGTTGCCAGATTTAGCAAGTATAAATATAAGACACCCATTCAAATTTAAATTTCAGATAAATAGCAAAGTGAGTTATTAATATAAATATTCCCACGTAATAGTTGAATCACAATTATGCTAACAAATTATTTGTTGTTTATTTAAAATTCAAATTTAACTGAGTGTCCTGTGTTTATTTGTCAGCTCTACTAAAGGCTGAGTCAGGATAGAGTCTCAGTGGTCAGGAGAGAAGTAAGTGGAATTGTCAATAAGAGATGAGAGAAAGTCAGAGAATGATCCATGAACCAAGATAAAGTAATAGCATTGAGATACAAAGAAGGAGGTGGCTTTCAAAATAATGAAGTGACTGACAGAATTTCCTATTTTTAGAAGACTGAATAATATTCCATTGTGTATATGTGCCACATTTTATTTATTCATTCCTTGATAGACAAATAAGTTGATTCCATACCTTGGCTATTGTAAATAATGCTGCAAGGAATACAGGAATGCAGATATCTCTTCAATATGCCAATTTCAATTCCTTTGGATATAAACTCAGAAGGTGGAACTGGAGGGCATTATGCTAAGTGAAATAAGCCAGGCACAAAGAGACAAATACTGTATGATCTCACTTATATGTGGAATCTAAAAAAGTCGATCTCATAGAAACAAATTAGAAAGGAGGTTACCAGAGGCTGGGAGGGAGAAGGAGGGATGAGGAAAGGGAATATGTTGATCAAAGGGTACAAACTCTCAGAGCAGAGGATTAAGTTTTGGTGATCCATTGTACTGCATGCTGACCACAATTGATAACAATGTGTATTTCAAAATCGCTAAAAGAATAGATTAATGTTCTCACCACAAAAAAATCATAAGTTGATGAGGTGATGGATATGTTAGCTTTACTGAATATTTCTACAATGTGTACACAGATCAAAATATCACATTGTACTGGAGTGTGGTCAGTATGTATGTATATTTATCATACATAATTATAATTTGTCAATTAAAATAAAAAGAAAAATAATGTGATATAAAATTGAATTTTGAAAAATGAAAAAGATGTGTAAAAGATGATGACTGAGTATTACTGCAGTGACTAAAAGATTAGAGATAAGAAAAAGCTTCAAAAAACAGTGGCCTTCAGTGTCAAATGACACAGAGACAGGCAAAACAGCCAAAATATTTGCAGGGGTGATGAGGTATGTCAAAGCAGATGTGATAGGGCATGCTTTGCCACAAGATGGCACTCATAGTTCCTTCTTTTTCTGAGTTTCTATCAATAAATATTCTGCAAATTTTTTATTGTTATAGAACAAAGAGACTATCTTATGTTTCACAACTTATAGCATTGTGTTTCATGTTATATCATTTTCCCACAACTTATCATTGTTTTTCCTTTTAGAACATGAAGATATAATGAATGCTGGAATTGACTGAGGGGGAGGGAGACTGGCATTAGAACTTGGAGGAGGGAGCAAATGCAATGCTATTGTAGATACAAAGTACAAAGCCTTAACAAAAGGCTGTTAGATTTAACAATCAGATGATGACTGATGAGTTTCAAGAAAATGAAGAATAGTGATGGAAGTGGTAGCCAGACTGCCTAATGTTGAGGAATGGGAATGCGCTGAGAAAGTAGAAGCAGTGAGTACAGACTATATGTTTAGCACATCTGCTATAAAAGAAAAAGAAGGAAAAATAGGTGGACTTTTTCCTTATAAGGAACTATTTTCCAAATAAGGGTTTGTTTACCTTATATGTAAGTTTCAAATATTTGACCAAAATACCTCTTAAACGGCAATTGCCTCACATAAAAATATCTCTATAAAACAAACGCAGTTGTGTTGCAGAGACACTTCTACTTAACTGAACAACTCCTTTAGTCCCTCTATATTATAGCACTTATTTCTTTTCAAAATAATTTCATACCTTTTTCTTATATTGTCTACTGAGTGAATGTTTGAATAAAGGTCTATAGAGAACATAAGATTTGCCTGACATTCCACAGCTAGAGAGAAACAGAGCCATGAGTCAAAGTTTTCTGATGTATAATTCCATACTCATTTTATTGAATTCCTTTTTCTGTTACTTGATTTCTAGTTCAAGTTTTCCACTTATTATCAACGTTATTTTTCAACATGTATAAAGTGACAATGGCTATATGAAATTACCCCGTTCTCAATAGTTTCCATGCTGTCTCAGATATGTAACAGTTAAAAGTTACCTGTCTCCCGAACAGCATGGGAAAATATGCGCATTATTATCTCTGCTTTGTGTAAAACTGAGTATAATATTGAGCTAAACCAAAAATAATTTATAAATCACCACACTGTTGCACAGGTAAAATCCTGTGCTTATTGTTTCAGGTGGATAGGTACTTCTACTAGAATACAAACAGTCTCACCACACAATCAAAAGGTTTTTTTTTTCAGCCAATAAATCTAATCTGTACACACTCATTTTTCTTTTATTTTTATCATCAAGGTGAAAATCAGTTTCTGTATTTGTGTAAATCTAAGTAAAATCTAATCCTTTGGACATAAGAAAGAGTGAAAGGAAGACAACTTTAGCTTTGTTCTTCTCATTCAATTTCCTCACCCCAAATATAGAGAAAAAGGTGGAGGGGCTTCTATAACTAGTTCACCGGTAACTCCACATAAGTCAAACAAAAGAACACTTCAAACCTGCTTTGTGGCTAGACCTCCATGGGGAACAGCCTTCTTACTGAATTGGAAAGAATAAAGGGTATTTTTGAACTTACAGTGCCTGAAAACATCATGTCTGCAAAGTGTGGTTGGCATTTTTGTACATTTAAAAGAGTCTAATGAAGCCCAGCTCCATACAAATTCCTACAAAAAAAAAAAAAAAACACGAAGAATGGAAAATGGTTCCTGCCACCCAGGGGTCAGAGTGGTGGTTGTTTCTCCAACCAATTGTACAAAGGAGACCTGTCATTTATATAGTTCCAAAGTCTTGCATTAGCAAGTACACCACGAAGACTGGCCCTTACCCAAATAATTTACTCAGAGAGACATTTAATATGGGGTAAATACAGCCTCAGAGAGAACAGCTTTGAAGGATGTCTTTGAAAAGGTCAGAAGAAGATGAAATGAGGAACGTTGTTACTTAGGGCCTTTATTAAACAAATGCTTGCCTTAGCTCATCTCCAGCATGTCTTAAATAATGACATACCCACTTCACAGACAAAAAACAAATTGGAATGTGAAATTTTTCATTAGTATAGGCCCTCAGGCCAATGGGTTGTTCTAAAAGTATGTGAATGGCCTCTTTCCACCAGCCTGGAGACTGCTTCTATCTCAGGGATGTATCTATTGCTCTGTTAAACAGTCAAGTTTGTATTTCAGATGTTCTCCCTTAACTGTAATACAAGTTAAATTTGAAAACTCTGTTCTCCCTAAGCCTTATGCATGTCCTATCCCTTCAGGTTCTTGGCTTTAGGTAGCTATAACCAGTTACTGCTACTGTTACAACAGACAGCACTTTAGGTGTTAACTTTTTTGGGGTCATAGGCACTTTGCTATCATAAAATCAACTGGCTATTGAATTAAATAAATTTTTTGGTTATCCATAACATCACTTCCAACAACTGATTTCTTTGCTGCTGCTATTCATCTCTAGTTCTTTGTACATATAAATGTATCCATCCATTCAACGAATATTACTGAGCACCTGCTATTGTTCTAGACAAAGGGATTATGGAAGTCATCAGAACAGACAAGGTCTGGCTATATGGACCTACATTCCAGATAGGTAGGAACAGAAGAGTGTGGGATGAGGGAAGTAACAGGCAATACTTAAACAACATACATTAAGATAGTGATAAGTCACATGAAGATAAGAAAACAGGTTAATGTAATTGATAATGTATGGAGAACTACTTTTGTCTGAATAATAAAAAACTGCTGCTGTGAGATGAGGTGTTAAAGTGTCACTTTTGAGTTAGGGCCCAATGATGACAAGAAGCCAGCATGTACAGGTCTGGGAGGAGAATGCTGTAAGCAGAGAAAACAGCAAGTACAAAGGTTTGAAAGTAGAACAAGCTTGGAATCTTTGAGGAGCAAAAAGAAAGCCAAGGTTGTTGAATACTAATAAAAGGAAGTGGCAGGTAGGATATGAGTTCTGAGAAATCCAAGAGGCAAGTTGGAGCTGCTAGATCATGAAGGAGTTATACATGAGGGATCTCAAAAACTGTAAAGTTTTTTCTAACTCCTAAATATTTTAGTGTATTTTTCCTGGGATCAAGGACAGTTATGAAAGTACAGTTACCAAAATGAGGAAATTTTCATTGTTATAACCATAGTACAGTTATTGAAATCGGAAAATAATATGAATATATTTTATCTAATTTATAAACCTTTCTTAAACTTCACTAATGGCCCCCAAAATGTCCTTTATAGAAAAGTTATTGAGAGCCCAGCATTATACATTGCATTAATTTTTTTTTTTTTTTGAGACAGAGTCTCACTCTGTCACCGAGGCTAGAATGCAGTGGTGAGATCTGAGCTCTCCACTGCAACCTCTGCCTCCCAGGTTCAAGAGATTCTCATGCCGCAGCCTCCTGAGTAGCTGGGATTACAGGTGCGAACCACCATGCCCAGCTATTATTTTGTATTTTTAGTAGAGATGGAGTTTCACTATGTTGGCTAGGCTGGTCTTGAATTCCTGGCCTCAAGTGACCCACCTGCCTTGGCCTCCCGAAGTGTTGGGCTTACAGGCATGAGCCACTGCACCTGGCTGCATTGCATTTAATGTTCATGCCTCTTTAGTTCCTAATATTTTCTTGTCTTTCATGAACTTGAAATTTTTTTAAAGAACTTGCCATTTATTTTGCAGTATGTCCTTCAATTTAGGTTTGTTTGATGTTTCTTTGAGATTAGATTCAGGTGACACACGTTATAAAAAAGTTATCCTTTTCAATATAGCATATCAGGAGAGGTACAGAGTGTCACCTTGTTCCATTACTAATATGCTGGGAAGGTGAGATTTAAAAATTGTATGCTTTGCTAGGAGGAGATCAATGTATGTTTATGCTTTAAACGATTGCAAAAATATAATGTTAATTGTAAAACTAGAAATATAATTAGGCAAATGCCTGTGAATTAAAAGCAAATGCAAGAAGGCTTTCTTTCCTTGTTCAAAACTGTAACCATAGCCAAGGGAGGGGAGGGGAGGGGAGGGAAAGGGAGGGGAGGGAGGAAGGAGAGAGAGAGAGAAGGAAGGAAGGAAGGAAGGAAGGAAGGAAGGAAGGAAGGAAGGAAAGAAGGAAGGAAGGAAAGAAGGAAAGAAGGAAAGGGCAAGATGGAAGAATAGAAGCCTATAGCATGTGTCTCCCTGTCCCCCATCCCAAGAATATCAAATATTAACAACTGTTTGCACACAGAAAATCACTGTCACAAGAACCAAAAATCAGGTGAATAATCACACTACCTGGTTTTAACTTCATATAACTGAAAAGAGGCATTGAAGAGGGTAGGAGAGACAGTCTTGAGTCACCAACACCAACCCTCCCACATCCCCTGGCAGCAGCCTTACGGCACGGAAAGTCTGTGCACTTGGGGGAGAGACAGCACAGCAGATGGGGGACTTTACATTGAACTCAGTGCTGCCTTGTCACAGAGAGCAAAGCTGTGCTGCACTCAGCCAGTGCCTGTGCATGGAGGGAGCATTTGGACCAGACTAGCCAGAGGGAAATCACCTATCCTAGCAGTCAGAGCTTGAGTTTCTTAGAAAGTCTCACCGCCACAGGTCAAAGTGCTCTGGGGTTCCAGGTAAACCTGAAAGCAGTCTAGGCCACAGGGACTGCAATTCCTAGGCAACTCCTAGAGCTAGGCTGGGCTCAGAGCCAGTAGACTCAGGTGACATGTTACCTAGGAAGATACCAGCCAGGGTGGCTAAGGGAGTGCTTGTGCCGCCACTCCCCCAGCCTAATCAGTGCAGCTAGTAGCAATGAAAGTGACTCCTTCCTTCTACTTATACAGAGGAGAGCTAAGAGTAAAGAGGACTTTGTCTGTATCTTGGATACCAGCTCAGTCACAGTAGGAGAGAGCACTGCACAGAATGGTGCGGCCCTCATTCTAGGCCCTAGCTCACTGACATTTCTAGACACACCCCAATCCAAAATGGAACCAGCTGCCTTGATGAGAAGGTCCTAGTCCTGGCAGGATTCATTGCTGCTGACTGAAGAGCCCTTGGGTCCTGAATAACCACCAATGATACCCAAGTAGTATGCCATTGGCTTTGGGCTCTGAGATGTGCTCACTTTAGGGTGTGACCCAAGACATTCTCAGTTGTGGTGGCTACAGTGAAAGACTCCTTGTGTTTGAGAAAGAGGGAAAAGTAAAGAGGACTTTGTCTTGCACCTTGCCTTAGGTATCAGCTCAGCCACAGTGAGGTAAAGCGACAAGCAGTTTCTGGGGGTCCCTGAGTCCAGGCCTAGGCTCTTGGACAGCATTTCTGGACTTTCCCTGGGTCAGAGAGGAGCTCACTTCCCTGAAGAGTTAGTCCCAGGCCTGGCAGCATTCACCACAAGCAAACAAAGAGCCCTTGGGCTTTAAGTGAACATCAGCAGTGGCCTGGCAGAACCTCCCATGGGCTGCTGATGGTGGTGGCCACACAGAAAGGCTCCTCTGCCTGTGAAAAGCGGAGAGAAGAGTGGGAAGGACTTTGTATTGTGGTGTGAGTGCCAGCTTAACCACAGTAAAATGGAACATCAGGTAAATTTCTAAAGTTTTTGACTCCAATCCCCGGCTCCAAGATACATCTCTGAACCTGCCTGGGGTCTGGAGGAACTTGCTGCCTTGAGGGAAGAACACAAAGCTGGTTAGCTTCACCACTGGTTGATCATAGAGACATTGAGCTTTGAGTGAACACAGATGGCAGCCTGGTAAGTGGTTACAACAGGCCTTGGGCAAGACCCAGTGCTGGGATAGCATCAGATCTAAGCCAGTGCAGTCCCAGTGGTAGTGACCACAGGGGTGCTTGCATCACTACATCCCAGTTCCAGCACCTCAGTACAGACAGAGAGAGACTACATTTGTTTGGGAGAAAGTAAGGAAAAAGAACAAGAGTCTCTGCTTGGTAATCCAGATAACTCTTCAAAATCTTATCCAAGACCACCAAGGTGGTAGCTCTACGAGTCTGCAAAAACCACAGTGTTAGGCTTGGAGCCCAAGTCCCTTTGAATACCTGGAAAGCATTCTCAAGAAGGACAGGCGCAAATAAGCCCAGACTGTGAAGACTATAATAAATACCCAATTATTTAATGCCCAGACACTGAAGAACATCTACGAGCATCAACACCATCCAGGAAAATCTTACTTCACCAAATGAACTAAATGAGGCACCAGAGATCAATCCTGGAGAAACAGATATATGACCTTCCAGACAGAGTATTCAAAACAGCTGTTTTAAGCAAACTCGAAAGAAATTCAAGGTAACACAGAGAAAGAATTCAGAATTTTATCAGATAAATTTAACAAAGAGCTCGAAATAATGAAAAAGAAGCAGAAATTCTATAGTTGAAAAAGGCAATTGATATGCTGAAAACTGTATCAGTCTCTTAATAGCAAAATTGATCAAGAAAGAATTAGTAAACTTGAAGACATGCTATTTGAAAACATACAGTCAGAGGATACAAAAGAAAGAAAAGAATAAAACAGAATGAAGCATGCCTACAGGATCTACGAAATAACCTCAAAAGGGTAATCTAAGAGATATTGGCCTTAAAGAGGATGCAGATAAAGAGATGAGGGTAAGCCGGGCGCAGTGGCTCATGTTTGTAATCCCAGCACTTTGGGAGGCCGAGGCGGGCAGATCACGAGATCAGGCGATCAAGACCATCCTGGCTAACACGGTGAAACCCCGTCTCTACTAAAAAATACAAAAAATTAGCCGAGCGTGGTGGTGGGCGTCTGTAGTCCCAGCTACTCGGGAGGCTGAGGCAGAAGAATGGCATGAACCTGGGAGACGGAGGTTGCGGTGAGCCGAGATCACGCCACTGTACTCCAGCCTGGGCGACAAAGTGAGACTCCGCCTCAAAAAAACAAAAAACAAAAAAACAAAAAAACAAAAACAAAAAGAGATGGGGTAGAAAGTTTATTCAAAGGGATGATATCAAGAATTTCTCAAACCTGGAGAAGATACCAACATTCAAGTACAAGAAGGTTATTGAACACCAAGCAGGTTTATCTCAAAGAAGACTAACTCAAGGTATTCAATAATCAAGCTCCCAAAGGTCAAGAATAAGGAAAGGACCCTAAAAGCAGCAAGAGAAAAGGATGGAATAACATACAATGGAGCTGCAATAGGTCTGGCAGCAGATTTTTCAGTGGAAACCTCACACTCCAGGAGAAGAGGAGCATGACATATTAAAAATGCTAAATAAAAAAAAAAACTTTTACCCTAAAGTGATATATCTGGTAAAATATCCTTCAAGCATGCAGGAGAAATAAAGACCTTCTGAGACAAACTAGGGGTGAAGAATTTCATCACCACCACACCTGTCTTACAAGAAATGCTAATGGGAGTTCTTCATTCTGAAAGAAAAAGATGTTAATGAGCAAGAAGAAATCATTGAAAGGTACAAAACTCAATGGTAACAGTAAGCACACATGAAAACATAGCATATTGTAACACTGTAATTATAGTGTGTAAACTATTCTTAAGTAGGAAGAAGAAATGATGAATCAATCAGAAACAATAACTACAACAAATTTTCAAGACATAGGCAGTACAGTAAGACATAAAGAGAAACAACAAAAGTTAAAAATTGAGGGGATGAAGTTAAAGTATAGAGTTTTAATTAGTTTTCTTTTTGTCTGTTTGTTTATATAATCAGTGTTAAGTTGTCATCAGTTTTAAATAACGAGTTGTAAGATAATATTTGCAAGCCTCATTGTAACCTCAAATCAAGAAACTTAGAACAAATACACAAAAATATAAAATGAGCTATTAAATTGTATCACCAGAGAAAATCACCTTCACTAAAAGAAATACAAGAAGGAAGGAAAGAAGGAAGAGAAGACCATGAAACAACCAGAAAACAAATCTAAAAATGGCAAGAGTAAGTCTGTACTTATCAGTGATAACATTGAATGGAAAATGGACTAAACTCCGCAATTTCTACTTATCAATGATAACATTGAATGGAAAATGGACTAAACTCCACAATCAAAAGACATAAAGTGACTGAATGGATGTAAAAATAAGACCAAATTATTTGTTGTCTATAAGAAACACACTTCACCTATAAAGATACACATAGACTGAAAATAAAGGGATGGAAAAAGATATTCCATGCCAATGAAAACCAAAAAACAGCAGGAGAGTCATACTTATATCAGACAAAACAGATTTCAAGATAAAAGCTATAAAAAGAGACAAAGAAGGTCATTATATAATGATAAAGGGGTCAATTCTGCAAGAGGATATAACAATTGTAAATATATATGTACCCAATACTGGAGTGCCCAGATATGTAAAGCAAATATTATTAGAGCTAAAGAGAGAGATAGGGCCCAATACATAATAGCTGGAGACTTCAACACCCCACTTTCAGCATTGGACAGATCTCTCAGATGGAAAATCAAGAAGGAAACATCGGACTTCATCTGCGCTATAGAACAAATGGACCTAATAGTTATTTACAGAACATTCCATCCACTGGCTGCAGAATATACATAGTTCTGCTCAGCACATGGATCATTCTCAAGGATAGACTATATGTTAGGTCACAAAACAAGTCTTAAAATACTCAAAAAACTGAAATAATATACAGCATTTTTGACCATAATGGAATAAAACTATAAATTAATAACAAGAGGAATTTTGGACACTATACAAACACATGGAAATTAAACAATATGCTCCTGCCTGACAAGTAAGTCCATGAAGGAATTAAGAAAATTGCAAAATTTCTTGAAAAAAAAGATAATGAAAACACAACATACCACAACCTATGGGATACAGCAGAAGCAATACTAAGAGGAAAATATACAGCTGTAAGTGCCTACATCAAAAAAGAATAAAAACTTCAATTAAAAAAACCTAATGATGCATCTTAAAGAATTAGAAATGCAAGAGCAAACTGAACTCAAAATTAGTAGAAGAAAAGAAATAATAAAGATCAGAGCAGAAATAAATGAATTTGAAATGAGGAAAACAACACAAAAGTCAATGAAACAAAAAGTTGTTTTTTTGAAAAGATAAACAAAATTGACAAACCTCTAGTTCAACTAACAAAGAAAAAAAAAGGGAGAAGACCCTAATAAATAAAACCAGGTTGGGAGTGCTGGCTCATGCCTGTAATCCCGGCACTTCAGGAGGCTGTGGTGGGCAAATTGCTTGAGCCCAGGAGTTCAAGACCAGCCTGGGCAAAATGGCGAGACTTCATCTCTACTAAAAATACAAAATACTAGCTAGGCATGGTGGCACATGCCTGTAGTCCCAGCTACTCAGGAGCCTGAGTTGGGAGGCTCTCTTGATCCCAGAAGGTCAAGGCTGCAGTGAGCTCTGATTGCACCACTGCACTCTACCTGGATGACAGAGTGAGACCCTATCTCAAAAAAAATATATAAAATATATACATAAATATATATTTATATCTATATAAATATAATATACATAAAATATATTATAATTTTATATAACATATATGATTTTATATAAAATGTATATTTATACAATATATAAATATAACATATATAATAAAATAAAATCAGGGATTAAAAAGGAGATATTACAACTGATATTGCAAAAATTCAAAGGATAATTAGTGGCTATCATGAGGAACTATATGCCAGTAAATTGGAAAATCTAGCAGAAATAGACAAATTCCTAGACACATACAACCTACCAAGATTGAACCATGAAGAAATCCAAAATCTGAACAGAAAAATAACAAGTAATGAAATTGAAGTCATAATAAAAAGTCTCACAGTAAAGGAAAGGTCAGGACCTGATAGCTTCACAGCTGAATTTTACCATACATTTAAAGAACACCTAATACCAATCCTACTCAAACTATTCTGAAAAATAGAGGAGGACGGAATACTTCCAAACTCATTCTGTGAGGCTAGTGATACCCTGATAGCTAAACCAGACAAAGACACATCAAAAACAGAAAACTACAGGCCAATATCTCTGATGATTATTCATGCAAAAATCCTCAACAAAATACTAGCAACCTAAATTCAACAATACACTGATGACCAAGTGAGATTTATCCCAGGTATGCAAGGATAATTCAACATATGCAAATCAATCAATGTGATACATCATATCAACAAAATGAAGGACAAAAACCATATGATCATTTCAATTAATGCTGAAAAAGCATTTGATTACATTTAACATCCCTTCATGATAAAACTGTCAAATAACTAGGTACTGAAGGAACATGCCTCAACACATAAAAGCTAGATACAACAGACCCACGGCTAGTATCATACTGTACAGGGACAAACTGAAAATCTTTCCTCTAATATATGGAACAAAACAAAAATACCCACTTTTACCACTGTTATTTAACATAGTACTGGAAGTCCTAGCTAGAGAAATCAGACAAGAAAAAAAAATAAAGGGCATCCAAATTGGAAAGAAAGAAGTCAAATTTCCTTGTTTGCAGATTATATGATCTTACATTTGGAAAAACCTAAAGACCCCATCAAAAAACTATCTAAATGAATTCAGTAAGTTGCAGGATACAAAATCAACATGAAAAAACCAGTAGTATTTCTATATGTCAACAGTGAACAATATGAAAAAGAAATCAAACAAGTAATCCCATGTACATTAGCCACAAATAAAATTGAATACCTAGAAATTTCAAATAAGTGAAATATCTCTACAATAAAAACTATAAAACACTGATGAAAAAAATGGAAAAGGACACAAAAAAATGAAAAGATATTCCATGTTCATGGATTGGAAGAATCAATACTGTTAAAGTGTTCACACTACCCAGACCAATCTACAGATTCAATGCAATCCCTATCAAAATACCAATGACATTCTTCCTAGAAATAGAAAAAACAATCCTAAAATTTATATGGAACACAGAAGATCCAGAATAGCCGAACCTACCCTGGGCAAAAAGAACAAAACTGAAATAATCACATTACCTGACTTCAAATTATACTACAGAGCTTGTAGTAGCCAATATAGCACCGTACTGGCTTAAAAACATAGACCAACAGAACAAAATCAAGAACACCAGAAACAAATCCACACATCTATAGTGAACTCATTTTTGACAGTTTCCAAGAACATGTTGGAGAAAAGACAGTCACTTCAATAAAGAATGCTAGAAAAATTGGATATGCATATATAGAGGAATAAAACTAGATTCCTATCTCTCACAAAAATAAAATCAAAATGGATTAAAGACTTAAATGTTAGACCTCAAACTATAAAACTACCAAGAGAAAACATTGGGAAAACTCTCCAGGACAGTGGACTAGGCAAAATTTCTTTTTTTTAAATTTTCTCTTTTTATTTTTTTTTTGAGTTAATTTTTTAAAATTATTATTGTACTTTAAGTTTTAGGGTACATGTGCACAATGTGCAGGTTAGTTACATATGTATACATGTGCCATGCTGGTGTGCTGCACCCATTAACTCGTCATTTAGCATTAGGTATAACTCCTAAAGCTATCCCTCCCCCCTCCCCCCACCCCACAACAGTCCCCAGAGTGTGATGTTCCCCTTCCTGTGTCCATGTGTTCTCATTGTTCAATTCCCACCTATGAGTGAGAATATGCGGTGTTTGGTTTTTTGTTCTTGCGATAGTTTACTGAGAATGATGATTTCCAATTTCATCCATGTCCCTACAAAGGACATGCACTCATCATATTTTATGGCTGCATAGTATTCCATGGTGTATATGTGCCACATTTTCTTAATCCAGTCTATCATTGTTGGACATTTGGGTTGGTTCCAAGTCTTTGCTATTGTGAATAGTGCCACAATAAACATACGTGTGCATGTGTCTTTATAGCAGCATGATTTATAGTCCTTTGGGTATATACCCAGTAATGGGATGGCTGGGTCAAATGGTATTTCTAGTTCTAGATCCCTGAGGAATCGCCACACTGACTTCCACAATGGTTGAACTAGTTGACAGTCCCACCAACAGTGTAAAAGTGTTCCTATTTCTCCACATCCTCTCCAGCACCTGTTGTTTCCTGACTTTTTAATGATTGCCATTCTAACTGGTGTGAGATGGTATCTCATTGTGGTTTTGATTTGCATTTCTCTGATGGCCAGTGATGGTGAGCATTTTTTCATGTGTTTTTTGGCTGCATATATGTCTTCTTTTGAGAAGTGTTTGTTCATGTCCTTTGCCCACTTTTTGATGGCGTTGTTTGTTTTTTTCTTGCAAATTTGTTTGAGTTCATTGTAGATTCTGGATATTAGCCCTTTGTCAGATGAGTAGGTTGCAAAAATTTTCTCCCATTTTGTAGGTTGCCTGTTCACTCTGATGGTAGTTTCTTTTGCTGTGCAGAAGCCCTTTAGTTTAATTAGATCCCATTTGTCAATTTTGGCTTTTGTTTCCATTGCTTTTGGTGTTTTAGACATGAAGTCCTTGCCCATGCCTATGTCCTGAATGGTAATGCCTAGGTTTTCTTCTAGGGTTTTTATGGTTTTAGGTCTAACGTTTAAGTCTTTAATCCATCTTGAATTAATTTTTGTATAAGGTGTAAGGAAGGGATCCAGTTTCAGCTTTCTCCATATGGCTAGCCAGTTTTCCCAGCACCATTTATTAAATAGGGAAACCTTTCCCCATTGCTTGTTTTTCTCAGGTTTGTCAAAGATCAGATAGTTGTAGATATGCGGCATTATTTCTGAGGGCTCTGTTCTGTTCCATTGATCTATATCTCTGTTTTGGTACCAGTAGCATGCTGTTTTGGTTACTGTAGCCTTGTAGTATAGTTTGAAGTCAGGTAGCATGATGCCTCCAGCTTTGTTCTTTTGGCTTAGGATTGACTTGGCGATGCGGGCTCTTTTTTGGTTCCATATGAACTTTAAAGTAGTTTTTTCCAATTCTGTGAAGAAAGTCATTGGTAGCTTGATGGGGATGGCAGTGAATCTATAAATTACCTTGGGCAGTATGGCCATTTTCATGATATTGATTCTTCCTACCCATGAGCATGGAATGTTCTTCCATTTGTTTGTATCCTCTTTTATTTCATTGAGCAGTGGTTTGTAGTTCTCCTTGAAGAGGTCCTTCACGTCCCTTGTAAGTTGGATTCCTAGGTATTTTATTCTCTTTGAAGCAATTGTGAATGGGAGTTCACTCATGATTTGGCCCTCTGTTTATCTGTTATTAGTGTATAAGAATGCTTGTGATTTTTGTACATTGATTTTGTATCCTGAGACTTTGCTGAAGTTGCTTATCAGCTTAAGGAGATTTTGGCAAAATTTCTTAAGCAATACCCCGCAAGCACAGGCAACCAAAGCAAAAATGGACAAATGGGATCACACCAAGTTAAAACACTTTTGCACAGCAAAGGAATCAGTCAACAAAATGAAGAGATAACCCACAGAATAAGAGAAAATGTTTGCAAACTCCCCATCTGACAAGGAATTAATAACCAAACTATATAAGGAACCCAAACAACTCTACAGGAAAAAATCTAAAAATTTAATTTTAAAACAAGCAAAAGACTTAAATAGGCATTTCTGAAAATAAGACATACAAATGGCATACAGGCACATGAAATGGGGCTCAACATCATTGATCATCAGAGAAATGCAAATGAAAACTACAATGAGATACCATCTCACCCCATTTAAAATGTCTTTCATCCAAAGACAGGCAATAACAAATGCTGGAGAGGATGTATACGGTACGGAAATGCTCCTATGCTGTTGGTGGAAATGTAAATTAGTACGACTACTATGGAAAAAAGTTTGGAGGTTCCTCAGAAAACTAAAAATAGAGCTACTATAGGATTCAGCAATCCCATTGCTGGGTATATACCCAAAAGAAAGGAAATCAGTGTATCGAAGAGATACCTGCATTTCCATGTTTGTTGCAGCACTGTTCACAAAAGCCAAGATTTGCAAGCAACCCAAGTGTCCATAACATATAAATAAATAAATAAAATGTGATACTTATACACAATAGAGTAATATTCAGCCAGAAAAAGAATCAGATCCTGTCATTTGCAACAACAACATGGATGGATCTGGCAGTCATTATGCTACATGAAATAAGCCAGGCAAGGGAAGACAAACATCGCATGTTCTTACTTACCTGAAGATCTAAAAATCAAAACAATTGAACTCATGGAGATAAGAGAGTAGAAGGATGGTTGTCAGAGGCTGGGAAAGGTAGTGGGAAGCTGGGTGCAGAGGAGGTGGTATGATTAACCCATTTATGCCCAGTGTTCTATTACTGGAATGCTAAGCTGTGGGAGTTATTTATATCCTACTACTCAAGGTCATCGCCAAGGTCTGATTTTTCACAAAAAAAAATTGTAACCTTTGGCATAAATGGGTTAATGGGTTCAAAAAATAGAAAGAATGAATAAGACCTGGTACATTTAAAATAGCTAAAAGAGTATAATTGGATTGTTTATAACACAAAGGATAAAAATCTGAGGGGATAGATACCCCATTTTCCATAATGTGATTAGTATGTGTTGCATGCCTATTGCAAAGCAAGTGTATATATTTATGGGGTACATAGGGCATATCTTGTGTACCTCATAAATATATACACATACACCTACTATGTATCCACAAAAATAAAAAGATTAAAAAAATAAAGAGATGGAAAATAGAATTTGCACTGTTAATGATAAGAAATAAGACATGTTTACAAACTTTCAACAAATAAAAATAACTGACTTTAAATATAAATTTATATAGTTAAATAAAATAGACTAGATATTTAGGTAAATAAATAAGTTGCTTTTACATCATAGACAATGCGGAAAGAAATTGTTGATCATTTATGAATTGTAATTAATTTAGACACCCAGTGGCAAATGCAAGATTTCCAAAATTTTTTTCTTCCAAGTATAGTGTAATTTATTTTGCCATGAATATTAGCTAAAAGTAAACAAACAAAGGAAAAGTGTGGTTGTAAATTTTATCACTGGGGATAATGGAGAAGGAAAAGATCAGAAAACCCAAAATCTATATAGAGAATGTAAGAAATTAGAGGAGATAGGGAATAAGCAAGAAGCTCTGCAACATGAATTTAAATAGTCGACTGAATCATAAAGGCTTTCAGTGCATGGACTATTGTTCTCTGGTATAGTTTTCTTTATCAGTCTCCCTTAAGATATAGTATGCAAAAATAAAAGCTAAAGTCTGTATGTGACCTGGCGCATACATCAGGACAACTGTTTCCCTTTTGATCACCAGAACTCTATTAGCACCTGTTACATTCAAATCTAATATGCAGAATTTTAGAAATGAAAAACCAAGACTTTCATCAGGTCCAGTTCCCTCAGTTTTCAAATGAGGAAAATGAAGTGAATTAAAGTTAACTGACTTGCCCAAAGTCACCCACAGGGATACTACTGATGAGCAAACAGTTTAGGCTTAGAGCCCCAGAATGCTAATAGAGACATCATAAATATGTCACTATCAAAATACCACTACCCAGGGAGCTCGTGGAATAGAGCACTGGACTTAGAGTCAGCAAACTTGTATTTGAATCTCAGCTCTGCCTCTTACTTCCTATGAGACCATGGGCAAGTCACTTCAGCTCTCTGAAAAATGGGAATGCTTAAGACCTACTTCATAAAAATGTTACGTATATTCAATGTGAAAGTGCTTTGTGAAAAACAACAGATAGTAAAACTATTAGAATATATGATAATGGTGATGATCTCATAGTCACTACTTAGTTAAATGGATATAATACTTTTTAAGTAACTAGACTGTTATGTGAATGTTGTGTAACATATTTCATGTCTCTAATTCTCATGATTCAGAAAAGATGTTGCATATGTTTAAATTTGCCTTTAAAGATTTTTTTTAACTTTTAATTACGAAAAATCTCAAACGTTTACAATGTGGTTAGAATATAATGAATCCCAGCTGGGTGCGGTGGCTCACGCCTGTAATCCCAGCACTTTGGGAGGCCGAGGCAGGCGAATCACGAGGTCAGGAGTTCGAGACCAGCCTGGCCAACATGGTGAAACCCCATCTCTACTAAAAATACAAAAAATTAGCTGGGCGTGGTGGCAGGCATCTGTAATCCCAGCTATTTGGGAGGCTGAGGCAGGAGAATTGCTTGAACCCAGGAGGTGGATGTTGCAGTGAGCTGAGACCATGCCACTGCACTCCAGCCTGGGCAACAGAGCGAGACTCCGTCTCAAAAATTAAAAAAATAATAATAATATTAATGAATCTCAAATACGCATCACTCAGCTTCAATATTTTCAAAATTCTGCCATTCTTTTTTATATGTGGCAAAACATACATAAATATACCATTTTAACCATTTTAAGAGCACAGTTCAATGACATTAACTACATTCATATTGCTGTGTCTGCTAGTCTTAAACTTCCATCCACTTCCCACCTATCCAGTGGATAATTATGAAGATCTTACTCTTTAAATCAGACATCTAGCACTTTAATTTTCATCCAAATTGGTATGAAACTTTTTTGCTCTAAGCCTCAGTTTCCTCTTCAGCAAAATATCATAGCATCCATCTCTCAAAGTTGTGAATTTTAAAGGATGTTCTGTAACATCATATAGCTAGTACTCAATAAATGTTAGCTCACTTGCTCCCACCATTCATAGGTATGACTGTTCCCAGAGAGTTGTGCTGATAACACGATGGATTCCATTTCACTGATGTGATGGCTCTCAAGTTTTATTTGGAGGATTTTACTGACATTTCTTCATTGTTCCTTTGTACCTTATCAAGGTAGGACATTTAAACCGAATTAAGTTTCCTAAATGATATAAATGTAATAAAGAGTTCCTTATATCTTCTTGGTGATAGTATTTACTTTTAAAATAATTATAAAAGAAATAGAATAAGCTCCATAGCCTAAGTGAGAAGTTCCTGAAGTCACTGCAGCCATTTATTAAAGCGTACTGGTAGGCAAACAGAAAATACCTTTGACTTTCCTTTAATGATGGAGTCACTGTGAAGGACACAGGAAAATGCTGACTTCTTCTAGGTCACTGCTCAACCTATGTCTGTCCTCTCTGATAAGTTCTTCTCAGCTTCACTTTATCCTTCTGCATACTAAATGGGGACATATTCTAAGACCTACTCCTCTTCTTTGAGATTTTTCACAAGCTCCTATGGGTGACTTACTTATATTTCTTCAGCCTGCATCTCTATATGAAGAATTCTAAAATAAACATCTCCAGCCAACAATTCTTTGTCTGACTCTAAGAAACTTCTGAACCCCAAAAGAAGCATATTCAAACCTAAACTCATCATCACCCCCTCAAACCCTCTCAGAAACCCTCTGTTTCTGTTGATGATGCCATCACTCCTGTGTCAGACTGTCTTAGAGACTCATCCTTCCATTTTTACATCCAAGACAAAGAGTGATTATTCCTTAGAAACGTTTCTTTTATTTGTTCTGCTCTTATCCCAACTCCACTAATGGGGGCATTACAGCTTCATCCAGCCTATTTAATGCAATAGCTCATGGAGTCAATAAAATACACTTTCTAGCATATAACATTTAATCAAGAAACCAGAATTCTAAACACTTTTAGGAATTAAGTGAGAGTCATGCCTGAGCAGCCCTTCAACTAACACTTAGGAGAGTTTAAAGACATAAATTCTTTTTCTGAGCCAGAAAAAAAACAAAGTTCTCTTTATTGGTAAAGCATGTTATTTTATAACTAGGTCTGAATAATGCAAACATCTGATAATCTTTAAAGAAATCACACCAACAAAATCTGAGCGCAATCTGGGCTTTCTCAAATACAGCTCACATTTCCCTAATTTTTACAGTCTCTATATAAAGACTTATATTCCCATTATTACATTTAGAGTGCCCTTCAAAGGTGCCATAAAGTTCCAGTCTTGATAGTCTCCAATTAGTGTCCTAGCTACATAGCTCTGAAGTTCCAGTTTACTAGCTTAACATACAAGCTAGAGCTTATCTTAACTGAGAACACTTATCTCTAATGACTGGCTTCTATTAAAACCAATCCCCCAGCAATACAAAACAGCTAATTTACAGATTTTAACTTTCTGCTTAGCTTTTCTCTTGCAATGTATTACAGTATCGTCCAGATATCTACCTTCCCAGGTGACTCTTTTTTCAGAGAATACCCCAATTGACATTGACTCACTCCAGTACTCTGAAACTCATAGTTTTGATAATAAATATACAAAGGTTCATTTGCAAATATATTCACTATAGTTGCATTTGTCTAGCAGAATTTAAGACATAACAATGTCTATTCATAAGTGGGTAGAATAAGGGTAAGTGTATTGATGAAACAAAATTGTCATGAGTTGGTAATTGTTGAAATTCAGTGATGGGTTCATTATATAATTCTCTCTACTTTTTTGCATATGTTTAAAATTTCTTCCATAATACAACCTTTTAAAATTAGGGTACTATTAATATAATGTAACTACTAGAAACAATTAAGATTGATCAATCTGTACTCACAGAAATAGGGCTATGATATATTATTAAGTGAGATAGCAACTTGATAAACAATAATGCTCCATTTTGGGTTTTACAAATTCTGTATGTATGTGTTTATGTGTATATATATATATTTGTATATCCACAGATAAAAATCTGGTTACTTTGGACCCACCAAACTAACAGCTAACCCTGGTAATTAAGAATTACAGTGGATGATCATAGCTTACTCTTTTTGCTACAATAATTTTTATAACCAACATCTGAAAATTTTAAAAATAAAATCATATTAACAACTGAAATATTTAGTGCAAGGTGGATCTTGAGGATTATATTCTTGGGAGCATAGAATAATAAAAGTATACATCTATGCTTCAAAGCATGCTACATATTGAAGGCAAAATAAGTTTATTTGATGTATTCTCTCAAGACATTGACTTTAATTAAGTGCTTTTTCTACCAACCTTATCTGGGACTGCCTTCTGTTACTTTCTGAAAAGGTTTTACTTAATTCTTTGATCTTTCCCATTACGGGCAAAACAGATGGCGGAAAACCATAGAAGATTTTCTTGCCCCTCGTTTAGTCCAAATTCATAATTTTTTGTAAAATCATGATCGAAGTCAATTTGTATATTTCTGCTTTGTCCAAAGATACTCCTACCACTCCCCTAAGGAGAATCTGCAGTTATCCTTGCTTTTGTACTGCTGATTTTTGTAGTCTTCATGTCCAAGTTTCCCTGCCTTTCACTATCTCTCCACCCAAATCTGGATCAGGTGTCTTCCTCTATTATAACACTTGTCATACTCTACCGAAATTGTTTACTTATCTGCTTCCCCTGTAAGACTGCAAGTGGGCTGCAACCAGGGGTGGATCCAAGTTTTATGGGGCTTGAAACTAATACAATTTAGGGAGCCTACATTAAAAAATATACAAAATTACAAATATCAAATTATGTATAAATATGTATATTTATTTAAAATGAGAAAAAAAAATCACAACACATTCTTGAAGGTTTAGCGATTAAGATCCTTCTCTTCTGAGACTTCTTTAGACAATTTACCAGAAATGTTTACATAGAAATGCATTTCAGTTACAACCCGGCTTTCCCTTCCCATTACTGGCATTTACAAGAGCCTAGGAAAGTGGTATATACTGAAGTATGAGCTTCATTAACTTCACGGTAAATCCATGTGTGACTTCTTTATTGCTGTATTCTCAGCACTCAGCACAGTGCCTTAAATGTATTAGACCAGGGGTATACGGTCTTTTGGCTTCCCTGGGCCACACTGGAAGAAGAAGAATTGTCTTGGGCCACACATAAAATATGCTAACAATAATGACAGTTGATGAACTAAAAAAAAAAAATAAAAATAAAAATAAATCACACACAAAAATATCTCTTGTTTAAGAAACTTTACAAATTTGTGTTGTGTCACATTCAAAGCTGTCCTGGGCCACATGCAGCCCGTGGGCCATGGTTTGGACAAGTTTTTTTAGATCCTCAAAAATATAGCTGTGAGCAGGAAGGCAGGGATGGGTGGATTCATACTCTTTTTTACCAAATATATGCTACAAACCCTTTAATGGCTTCCTACCGCTCTTAAGATAAAAAATTACTGTATAACCCAGCCTTTGCCTTCCTCTCCAACTGCATCTTGATCTCTTCTTTACCTTCTATACTCCAACTACATTAACCTTCTCTTACTGCCTTAGGACCTGTCCATAGGTAGTTTCCTTTGCCCAGACTCCTCTTCCCATCCCAACTCTACCATTTACAGCTCAGTTCAAATGCTACTTTGTCAAGAAAGACTTGAAGCCTAGTTTAAGTCTCCCAGTAATCTCATTCACGATATTCCCTACTTCCTCAAAAACACTCCTCACAATTGTAATTACAGAGTTTTGTAAAAAGTTGTTTAATACCTATTTGCTACTGGAATGAAAACTCTATGAAAGTAGGGGTGACAGTGTGTTTGTTTATTTATTGTTTCCCCAGTTTACCACAATGCTGTATACAGAGTAGGTGCTCAATAAATATTTGTAGAATTAATGAAGAAATAAATGAATGAAGACTAATGTCCAAGAGGATAGAACTCTCAGTATGTATTACAGAAAAGACAGTACCTAGGATCAAAACATTCACTGGTCAAAGAGAACAATAAAATATTTATTAATAATAGCTAATATTTATTGCTTGCTGAATGTTAGACTTTGTAGTATGCAATTATCTTTATATGCAATTATCTCATTCGATCCTCAGAAGAATCTAGCAAGTAGATATTAGAATAAACTTGTTGATTTTGACCAAAAAAATCCTTCTGGATTTTGAACGAGATTGTGTTCACTCTACAGATCACTCTAAAGATCAGACTGACATCTTAACAATGTGTATTGTAAACCATAAACATAGCAAATATCTCCATTTATTCAGGTATTCTTTTATCATTGTTTTACAGTTTTCAGCATCAGATCTTACACAAATTTTGTTAGAGTTATACCTAGTCATTTCATGGTTTAGTGTTCTATTGTGAATAATACTATATTTTAAAGTCTCAATTTGTGATTGTTAATTGTTAGGATATAGAAATACAATTCTTTTTATTGATCTTGTATCCTTCACCTTATTAATCTCAGTTAGTTCCAGCGACATTTTTGTAGATTTTTTGAAGTTTCCTAGACAATCCAGCTTTCATTTGATTTGTGTGGTTCTTTAACATAAATCTATTTAGCACTAGCCAGGGAAAATGCTATATTAATGTCAGACAGGTTTCAACCACAGAACAGTCTTCTTATTGGTAACCGTTGCTCCATCCTCAATCCACAAAGAATATTGTTTAGGGAGGATTATGAATGAATCAGGAGTTACCCATAAGAGATTATCTGGTGGTGATTCTGACTTCTTAACCTGAATTGTCCTGACTCCTATAATTTGGAAAGGGAAAGACAGGAATAAAGGGCTACTCCAGGAATTCTCAAAATTTATATACACAGGAATCCCCTGTGAACACCTATTAAAAATACAGATTTCTGAGACTTCAACCATTTTAGCAAGCCACCTCAGATGAGTCTGATGCAGATGGTCCATGAACCATACTTGAGGAATACTAGTCTATATTCTATGCTCTGTAAAGCAGCACTGCCCAGAAAAGCAAGGCACATATGTAATTTAAAATTTTTTGGTAGTCCTACTTTTAAAAAAGATAAATTTAATTTTAACAATATATTTTTGTTGGCCCAATATATCCAAAATATTATCATTTTGACATGTGGCACTGGCCACATTTCAAGCACTCAGTAGCCACATGTGGCTAGTGGCTATTCATCTGAAACAGCACTTTCATATGAATATTTGATTTTAAGCAATATTGCTCAACTTCTTTGATAATAAAAGTCACCTCAAACTTTGTCTCTTCTTTTTTTTCCATAAAAGCTTTTTTACAATAAATTAATAAGCTTCTCCCCTGAAAGTTCTAAATCTGTAGGTTTGGATAGGAAACCCTAAGAATATGTGCCACTGTAGGTGATTCACATTTTCAGGGAAGTTTGGGAATCACAGCAGCAGGGCATGAACCAAAGCTCATGTAGGCTCTCAGGCAAATAGTTTCTATGGGCTGGATAAGGCTGAACTCTTGACAAAGAGATCCCAGAACATCAAAGAATTATTGGTCTTGGCTTTCTCCAGCCTCCCAATTCTATTTACTTCTTCCTCAAGGATATTTCTATTACCCCCAATGACCTTGCTTTCTTCCTCCCAGGAAAACTGCTTTCTGATCTAGCATTCTTACCAAGCGTTAAACAACTAATATGAATTATCACTCATAGCAAGATCTGGGCCACTTAACCTCAAACTTGAACCAAAGACATGTGACCAGAACTTCACATTTTTCTTCCTATACATCAAAAATTCCAGAAATTCTAGTATTCTGTGTCTCTAAATTAAATCCCCTAGGTAAGAAGGAGGATGTCTCCTTCATAGGCAGAATCTCAGTCATTAACTTGAACATACTCACCTTAATAAGAAGCTTCAATTCATAGTCTCCAAAACATTGTGAAGTTGAGGAAGAATTGCTGATCTTAGAAACCCCAAAATCACTGCCTTCTCCATCTATGCACAAAAGTGGCCCTGCCCACAAAGGTCAGATAGAACCAGATCAATTAAAGGGATGTTACTCAAGAGTAGAATGTAAAATTTAAGGACAGAGATTCTGGAATCAATCAGATTGGGACCCATTTTATCCCATGGGTTCCAAATTACTATTTCTCCATAACTAATCTTATTTGTTACTGTCAGCACTTAAAGCAATATTTTCCAGTATGACAGTTCCCTGAACTTTTTATTTTGGATTAACAAATGGTTATGTTCATCATATCTTTAAATTGCACTCTTTCTTTCAATATGTTTTTGCTTTAGTGAACCAATCAATATCTTGAAAATGTTAAGATAGCCAAATTTGCAATAAAACATATTAAATTCAGAGGTACAAGATGGTCCTTACATTGTTATACAAAGAGGAAAGAGACGACTAATATGTATTAAACATTTGCCATATATGTCAAATCATTTCAACCCCTTGAGGTAATTTCTACTATTCTCACTTTAAAAAAGGGGAAACTGAAGTCTAGAGAGTCTAAGTACCTTGTTATAGGTTACCCTGCAAGTAAGTAGTGGAGCAAGAGTTTGAATTTGTTTTACCCAAAAGGCCTTGGCCTTTCCACTATACCCTTATAAATGTTAATAAAATCATTTTATGTAAATTTTCACAGATCAAATTTATCAAATTTGATACTGAGTTTTTTAATGTTTTTAATAAAATTGAAAAAAAAATTTAAAATATTTTATTTTCCAGTTATTTGTGACTAATATATTGAAATATAATAGATTTTTGTGTATTGACTTTATAGCCTATAATTTAGCTAAACTCACTTATTAGTCCTGCCAGTATTTTTGTAGATTATACAGAGCCAATCTCTATAACTTGTCTATTTCTCTGTTCCATGTCAAGTAAAAATGACTACATAAATTTTTATCAAATTTGGAAAATATAATGTGATTAGGCTAATAATAGTCTATCAGGAGATGACTTTCAGGACCGTTTAAAGAGGCAGACAATCATCATCACAAGCAGCTGAAAGTGAAGCATGATTGCAGACCCACATGACTGCCCAACGAAAGGAAAAGGCAACATTGATTAAAATACCAGAGACAGAGAAAACAATCAATTAAGAAACACATTAAGGGCAGATACATCAAACTGCAATTTATTGCATGCTTGTTATTTGGGCAACTTCAAGTATTACAATGCTCCAGGGTAAGAAGCAGCAGAGTTTTATTAATTTAACTATGGCAGACAATTCTCTTCAGCAGTAGGGAGATCAGCCAATAAAACAGCCATTATTTGTTGTTTCTTAGTGCTATCTTTGTCCCTTACTCTTCATTATCCAATATAATTTGTTATTACGTTATACATTGTGGCCGATTAATTTAAAAACACTCAAGAGATTTCCATTCTTGGTTAGGAAGAGTCAGGCTGTATCAGACCAATCTTCCTGCTGAGAATAACTAGAAAAAAACAATTTTAAAAATCAGTTTGGCCAGGCAGTTGCCCGAGCCTGTCCAGCACTTTGGGAGGCCAAGGCAGGAGGACTGCTTGAGGCCAGGAATTCTAGACCAGCCCAGGCAACAAAGGGAGACACCCATCTCCACAAAAGTAAAACAATAAATAAAAATAAAATTAGCCTGGTGTGGTAGCATGCACCTGTGGTCCCAGTACTCAGGAGGCTGAGGCAGGAGGATCACTGGAGCCTGAGAGGTTGAGGCTGCAGCGAGCCATGATGGCACCACTGCACTCCAGCCTGGGCAACAGAGCAAGACACTACCTCGAAAAAAATCAGTTTGAAGGCATCATATAGTTGTCAAGACAGGCAGTATATAACAGGTAGATCTATGAAAGAAAAATCCCTAATTGAGGTTAGCTGTCTTTCATGGCTTTCCTTTCAAAGCAGTTGCTGATTCACATGCAAAACAGAGCCAAGAAGCTGAATAAGGAGAAAGCAGCAGCTAAGAGGCTAAGACTCTGAGCACAGTTTCTGGCAGTCTCACAGTGCTGGGATACAAGTACAGCACTTGTAGTTTGGGAGGATATGCCCTGGTAAATTTCCTATGCTTCCTGTTGGGAACCTGAAAGGATGCAACCTAAGAGTAAGAATGAACCAGAAATAAAATGGTCCTTACAAAGACAGAAACAAGCTTCAAGTCAGCGGGGTTCCAACTAGGATTGAGATAACTGGCCCCTAATCTGTCTGCCAGTAAATATTTACTGAAAGAAAATGATGTGATGGTTTGTGTTGTGCTAACTTGGTTAAGCTGGAAACTACATTTCTCCACGTCCTCTTCTCCCTATCGTTCTATGTTAGAGTTGGCCAACAACGAATTTACGTAAGATTTAAAATGCATGATGAGTTCATGTCCTTTGTAGGGACACGGATGAAGCTGGAAACCATCATTCTCAGCAAACTATCGCAAGGACGAAAAACCAAACACCGCATGTTCTCACTCATAGGTGGGAATTGAACAATGAGAACACATGAACACAGGAAGGGGAACATCACACACCAGGGACTGTTGTGGGGTGGGGGGGAGGGGGGAGGGATAGCATTAGGAGATATACCTAATGCTAAATGACGAGTTAATGGGTGCAGCACACCAACATGGCACACGTATACATATGTTACAAACCTGCATGTTGTGCACATGTACCCTAAAACTTAAAGTATAATAATAATAAAATAATTTAAAAAAAGATTTAAAATGCAAAAGATAAGAAGCAGCCATTACAATCTACAGGTTTTTGTTTGTTTTTTGTTTTTTTGTTTGTTTTTTGTTTTTTTACAGTCAAAGGTGTTTCTCAACAGATGCCTGGGAGCTGAGCTTCCAGTTCTGGGAGTGTGGGCTGCAAAATATACAGAGTAATAAGGCAAATGACAACAGCAGCATAAACGATGGAGAGTGGATAAATAGATTTAAAGTATTTTATGGCCCTTGTGTTGTCGAGTACATTATAAAATTACTAATTTACATTGTGAAAGAAAATGAGGTAACTAAGGCTAAGGCTTTCTAAAGTAGAGTGGGTAGATTGTGAGAGGTCTGCACTCACACCTGCTAAAGGTGGAATGTTTCGATAGACTTGGAAAAACAACTGAGGTTAGTATCTGCCAGCCTTCAACATCTCTCCAGCTGGAAGTACCCCAATTAGCTAACCAATTAGAAGAGGTTTACAATTTAGGATTTCTGCCCAGCCAATGAACTGCCTCCATAAACAACTTTTTGTGAAAATCCCTGATTTAAAAACACTGTCCTATACTTGCCTTATGGGACACTATTCAGGGCTGTCCTGAGGTAGTGTACCTGAACTGCAATTCTCTGTTTACCAAGTAAATGCTATTTCCTTTGACCTCCGTGTCAATCTTTTTTTTTATTTTTATTTTATTTTTTAGATAACATAGTTTATGTCAGAAGCAGGACCTGAAGTAATCTTACCTTCTAGTGGACTGGCTTCTTTGGAATCGGATGAGGTACCTACAACAAAGAGCCCCTTGTGCTCTCCTTCTCTGCTTCCTTGGACTGCTGGCACCCTCAATTGTAAGTCTTCTTGAGCTCCTCCCTCCCTCCCTTTGGTTGAGGTCAATGCTTTTATTTGGGAATTTGGGGACGTTGTTCCATTTGTGCCCACAAAGGCTTTTAGCCTGTGTGGAAATTTTTCCAGGTATGTTAGTTTTCCTATTATTTGGAAATTTTCCTATTGGTCAGTATTATTATTCTTATTATAAGTTTCGGATTCTTTAATTCTAAACCTTGCAGTGATTGTCCCCTTTCTGAGACTACAGCTGGTTATTTGTTCAAAAATTATGGGACTTCCATCTGTACTAATCTGGAACAGTTGACTTTCTAAACAAAAGATACTTCAGAATTACAATAACCAAATTGGGGTTCTTTTTTCCCCAAAACTAGGCTTCTCCAAATTATATTGGAAGACCATGGCTCTAAAACAAAACAACCTGAATGAAGTACATATTTTAGTTAGCATCTGGAGGCATCCAAACACATTCAGGACTCTAAAATTGCTTCTCGCTAGAGCAGTCTTGAAACTCACAGAGGCTAATAAAAAAACCAAAAGAGAAAGAAAAAGTCCTTGAAGCTCTGGTTTCTTCTACTAACTCTCACTCTCCTATTTCTGCTCTCCAACCTCTATGTCCTACACTTGCTGACTTCCCTTCTACTCTTCTGACTCTAAAGCTTCCCTTGATTCCCGTTTCTGTTAAAACTGTTCAAATTCACCCTTTCAAGCTCCATCGGAATAATGAGGTCACTCTACTAAATGTTTCCTATACACTTTGGACAAAAGCTGAACTTAGAGATATAGCTAAAGAGTTCACCAAGATTACTGAGGACCCTCATAAACTTGCTGAAGAATTTAAAATTGTTATCCAAACACATAAATCTGATTTCTCTAACTTTTATCCATTAATACAGTCATCTCTCAGTATACACAAGGGATTGGTTTCCGGACCCATGCTATACCCAAATCTGTTCATACTCCAGTCCCTCAGTTGGCCCCACCAATCAGCATATATGAAAAGTTGGCCCTCCATATATGCAGCTTTTGCATCCTGTGAATACCGTATTTTCAATCCACTTTTGGTTGAAAAAATCCACATATAAGTGGACCCATGTACTTCAAATCTGTGTTATTCAATGTTTAGCTGTACATGTATGCCCATCAGAGAACATCAGCACAATGTTAGATGGCAAGGCAGGTTAGAACAATCCTCTAATGCAGCAGTCCCCAATCTTTTTGACACCAGGGACCGGTTTCTTGGAAGACAATTTTTTCCACAGGCTGGGGGTGGGGGATGATGAAATTGTTCCACCTCCAATCGGTAGGCATTAGATTCTCATAAGGACCACACAACCTATATCCCTCGCTTGTGCAGTTCACAGTAGGGTTCATGCTCCTGTGAGAATCTAATGCCACTGCTGATCTGATAGAAGGCAGAGCTCAGGTAGTCAGCACTCAACTTGCTTGCCTGCTACTCACCTCCTGCCATGTGGACCTGTTCCTAGCAGGCCATGGACCAGTACCCCTCTGTGGCCCAGGTGTTGTGGATCCCTGCTCTAACAGGCCTCCAAAGCAATATTGCCTTCCAATAGGGAGAAAGTCCAACGAGGAGCCAAAACTTTATATCCACCTATCCTTTAACATTCCCTAAACCAGTAGATTAAAACAAGATCCAGGCCTGCACCCAAAAGAAAGCTGAGGCAGTACATAATTATTATAATAGACATGAAATCGTTATCAAGGAAAACTCTGGACTCCCCTCAGTCACCAAATCTATCCAAGTGGCTTTTAATTCTATGTTCATAAATAGTTTAGATGATGATCTTACAATTCTAAATAGGTTCACCTTGAATGGGAAACAATGCAATGTCCACCTCTGATTCAGTTAACCTGGCCAGCCAATTAGCCTAAACAATTTGTAAGGTGGATAAAGTGAGGGCAAAGAAAATAATGAACCTACAGCTTCACCATCTTTCTATCCCTCATAATAAAACATGGTACTTTAACACTATAAAACTAAATGTTAAAGGAGTCTGCCACTACTACAAAAAGCCTGGACACGGAGTAGGGGGAGATTGCATACAATTAAAACAAGATAAATGACCCCCTTTAATAGGCCACCCTCTATGTTCCTTATAGACTGAGGGTGCTCCAAAAAACCTACAGGCGATCTTTCAATCTTGTCTCTTAATCATTTGGGTGCAACCCCTGTCATGATCAGAAAGGAGATTCTCACTGTCCTTATCAACACTGGGGCAATCCTCTGTATTTGACACTCATCAGCCTCAACCAGTTCCTTCCTTGAAGTACTGAAAAAAAATGCAAATGGTAGGAGTTTCTAATATACCTTTAACAGTTTACAAATCTTTCCCCTTGCTTTTTCAATTAGGTTCTACAATCATTCTTTTTTTTTTTTTTTTTAACCAGTTCTCTTGGCCCCAGTTCACTTACTTGGAAGGGACTTCTTAGGAAAACATCATGTGGCCATTACCTTTTCCCATAAGGGTAAGATAATTCTTAAAGCTGATTTACATCCCCATCACCTTTAACTGACAACAGTGAAAATTCTTCAACACTCTTGCCTACTTTTGTCTTTAACCTAAATAATGAAAATGTTGACAGTTTAATTCTTTTTAAAAGAGCTTTTTGAGGAAGTTTTGGATAAATCTACAACAGACATTGGACAAATCCACTGGGCTCTCCTGATAAAGACTCAAATTGACCCAAACAAGCCCCTTCCTAATATCAGACAATACTCCTTAAATCCTGAAACTTCTGCAGAAATTAAGCCAATTACAGAAGAATGTAAAGCTAGGAATCTTGTGGCGCCTAGTACTAGCCCCTGTAGTACTCCTAACCTTCCTATAAAGACATCTCATGGACATGGATGGAGATTTATACAAGACCTATGAAACATTAATAATATTGTCACTCTTTGACACCCTGTCATTCCAAATCTCCATACTCTCATGACTTCCATCCTCACAGAATGTAAATTTTATAGTGACATACTTTTATATTACTTTTTTAAAAAAAGCATTCATGTGGACACTGGGAGTCAAATTTTATTTGTCTTCACGTAGGAAAGTCAACAATATACCTAGATAGTAATGTCTTGAGGGTATACCAAAAGCCCTCCCTACTTTTCAGATACTGAAGACATATTTAACAGACATGTCTTTCCCCCAAGGATTGACTCTCTTGCAGTATGTTGATGACCTCCTTCTTTGTTCCTTGTGAACATGATTATGTTCATCTCCTTAAACTTCTAGCAGACAAAATCCACAAAGTTTCCAGGGAAAGACTATAATTTACCCAGGACCATGTCAAACATTTGGGATACATGATATAAAACCAAGGACTTCTCTTGGATCCTGACAGACTTAATGGTATTTAAACTTTCCTCAATCTCAGACTGAGACTATTACAAAGGAGATAGGGGCTGGCAGGTTCTGTCAAAACTGAATACCTAATTTTCCTTTGATAGCATAACCCTTATATGCTCTTCAGAAATTTGACAACCCAGATCCCCTGGGCTAAAAAGAGAATGCCTGTATGGCCTTCTATCAAAAGAAGGATTTCTAAGTCTTCCTGCCTTAAGGTACCCCAATCATCAGCTCTCTTTCTTCATTTTTGTGCATGAAAAATAAATAAATGTGTTGGGGGTTCTTTACCCCAAAACATTGAGTTCAACACAGACCCATTGGCTATTATAGCCAGCAATTAGGTTCAATAGCTGACTCCCTCTCTGCATGACAGCTATATCAGCCACTACAGCTTTAATTAACTCTACAGAAGAGATAATCACGAACTCTACTCTCACTGTCTATGTTCTTCATGCTGTAGAAGCTTTGTAGAAACCGTAGAGAACTCTCATCATACTCAGTATTATTCTGAGCAGACTAACTTCTTATGAGATCTTGCTGTTGATTTCTCACATTCTTTCTCACTGCAATACTCTTAATCCAGTAACCCTCCTTCCCCTACCTGTTGATGAGACACATCATGACTGTTCAAATCTAAGTGGCCAGCTAAAACCTAAAGTCAATTTACATGAAATTCCTAGACCAAATACAGAACTTTCATGGTTTACTGACACATCATAAATGACAGATTAAAATATAGGAGAATATTGTGCTAGATATACTATAACTTTTCTTGAAGTACAGACATGCATCTCTTAAGTACGGGAATACATTCTGAGAAGTGCATTGTTGGGTAATTTCATCATTGTATGAACAGAATATTATAGAGTATACTTAAACCTAGGCTTCTACATACCTAGTTATATGATATTGCCTACTGCTCCTAGGCTAAAAACCTGTATAGCATATTACTGTACTAAATACTGTAGGTAATTATAGCATGATGCTAAGTATTTGTATATTTAAACATATCTCAACATAGAAAAGGTACAGTAAAAATAAGGTATTACAATTATGGGACACTGTCATATATGTGGTCAGTTGACAAAAATGTGCAGCACATGACTACATGCAGCACGTGACTATAGTTGAAGAAGCTGCACTGCTGATGGCTACTTCAGCCCAACAAGCAGAACTTTATGCCTTAATCAGGGCTTATATTCTGGTGAAAATAAAACTGCAAACGTTTACACCAACAGCCGTTACGCCTTTGGGGTTGTTCGTGATTTTGGTGTGCTTTGGAAACAAAAAGGATTTTTAACCTCCAGAGGGAACCAAATTAAAAATGGAACTTTTGTCAATAATTTATTAAATTCAATTCAACTTCCCTCTGCCTTGGCTATAATCAAAATTTCTGGGCACTCTAAATTAGAAAGGCTAAGAAAAACGACTTGGCTAATCATGCAGCAAAAGCAACTACCTAGAGTTCCACTAAGACTTAAAACCTTATAGCTGATATGGATTGTTTTCCAAAAAAGGATTTAAATGATGTTGTGAAAGGTGCTCAGTCTTGGGCATCATATAAAAAATCATATTGAGCTGATAACAATTGCATTTTTTGCCCAACAACAAATTTACGGTATGGTCCCAATAATAAACTGCTATTACCAGAATCTATATGTCTTTTAAAAACCTTACTCAAAATGACATATCAGATGACTAACTGGGCAACTGATAAATTTTATAAAGCAGTATTATTAGTGGGGAAACATTTCAAGGGCTGCCAAATAGTTACAACTGTCTTGTACTGTTTGTCCAAAATTCAACCCAGGAAAGACAATTCAGATAGTTCCAGGTCATTTTAACCTACCTAATGGACACTCTGAGGTTTGGCAAATGGATTTCATTCAGCCACCTCCATATCAAGATTATAAATATGTTCTAGTTAAAATTTGTAAGATATTTCCTTTAACCTCCATGTCAAAGGATTTTTTAACTTAATAATATCATGCTATATAAGAATGTATTATATAATTTCAAGAATAATCACTAAAAATTATAATGTTTAATAAACTGCTTATAGAGAAAATGAAATACTAAGCACGAATTTTAAAATTAAATACAGGAAATGAACATGAAAATGTAGGATGATTAGAAAATAAATAAGGTGTAGATGTAAATCCAAATATATCAGTAACAACATTCAGTGGAAATGGATTAAGAATTCCAATTAAAAGACAAAGACTGTCAGCTAAACAGAAAACAAAACCCATAATATGTTACTGAAAAAGAGGCCAACTTTAACTATAAGGATACAAAAATGATAAAAGTAACAAGATGGGAGATAACGCTATGCAAACACTAACCAAAAGGAAGTTGTATGTACCTATATATTTCTATCGGACAATGAAAAGTTAAAAGATGTTGTGGTAGGCGGAATGATGGCTGCCCTCTCCCAACCAAAATGTTTACATCCTAATCCCTAGAACCTACGAATGTTACTTTATGGGGCAAAAGAGATTTTGAAGATGTGATCAAATGGAGAATTTTTAGATGGGGAGATTATTCTAAATTATCCAAGTGAGCCTGATATAATTACAAGTCTTGTAAAAGAGATACAGGTGGGGTCAAAGTTAGATAGGAGGCAATGTGACAAAAGCAGCAGAGGGACAGAGAGAAAGAGATTTGAATATGTTATGCTTCTGGCTTTGAAGATGGAAGAAAGGAGCCAGAAGCCAAAGAATGTAGGCAGCCTCCTGAATCTGAAAAGGTCAAGGAAACAGATTCTCTCTTGGAACGTCTGGAAGGAACACAGCTGTGGAGAATGAATTTTAGACTTCTGATCTCCCAAAGTGTAGGATGATAAATTTGCATTGTTTAAAGCCACTAACTTGTGATTTGTTACAGCAGCAGTCAAAATGAATATAGATGGATTACTATAAAGATAAATAATGCACCAGGCACAGTGGCTCACATCTGTAATCCCAGCGCTTTGAGAGGCCAAGGCAGGAGGACTGCTTGAGGCCAGGAGTTCAAGACCAGCCTGGGCAATATAGCGAGATCCAATCTCTACAAAAACTAGAAAACAAAAAAATTAGCTGGGCGTGGTAGCACATGCCTGTAGTCCCAGCCACTCAGGAGGCTGAGGTGAGAGGATTGCTTGATCCCAGGAGTTCAAGGATGCAGTGAGCTATGATCATGCCACTGCACTGCAGCCTGGTGACGAAGCAAGACCCCATCTCTAAAAAATAAATAAATAGATAGATAGAGATAGATAATGATTTAAAGCATAAATCTACCAAGAAGATATAATTCTAAATTTTCATGTCCATAAAAATATAGCCTCAAAAATGCATTAAAAAAGAAAACAGCATACATAAACAAGTACACAAGTCACAGTGAGACATTTTAACATACCTCTAACAATAACCTTTAGAAGCAGATAGAAACTGTCAATAAGATAATATAAGATTTAAAGGACATAATCAACAAACGTCACCTAATATTTATAGAACTCCAAACAGAAAAAATGCATGCTTTTCAATCAACATTTACCATAACAGAATATATGCTGGGTTACAAAGCAGGTCCTAACAAATTTTAAAGGATTGATGAGTATGTTCTCTACAGTCGAATTAAATGAAGAAGATTAAAAGATAACTAGAAATTAAGCAACATTCTTTAAAATAACTCACAGGTCAAACAATAGTTCAAAAGGGAAATTGGAAAATATCTTGAATTGAACAATAAAAAGAGTGTATACTGTATGATTCCACATATACAAAGTTCAAAACCAGGCAAAACTAATTTCATGGTTTTTAAAGTCAATAAGAAGATAAACAATGGTTATCTTCAAAGAGGAGATTAAGGTTAGTGAGCGGGGGTGGTCATGGAAGGACCATCTTAGTGCTGGTAATGATCTATTTTCTGATCTGAGCGGTTGTGTTCACTGTGTGTTCACTATGAAAATGCATCTAGCTATTCACTAATACTGTGTGCACTTTTCTGCATGTATGTTTTAATTCACTAAAATGTTACTAACATAACTCAGAAAAATTTTTCTTCATTTTTATTTCCTGTGGTGCTTGAAGATTTTGTGTGTGTGCTAATGTCTCTTACTATCATACGAAGCTATCTAGGTTAAGAAAGTGTCACTCAATTTATCTTTAAAATGATGGAGCTAATTTTTAGGTGCCTTCAGAAATGCATCTCATTTCTAATCTTTTATGGTTCTATAACCTGGAGAAAGATTTAGTTACATTCTGCTTATCCTACTAAAATTATTTTATTCCCTTGAACCATATTCAGCTTGTCCATCTGAGGACAGAATTAAATAATGTGAGTTTTCTAGAATATCAAAACCATTTCATGAGTCTGCATTGTTTTCAAGAAAACCCCTCAAGTCACAGGTAGCTGCTGTTGCTTCTGCTCTTAAAACCTCTTCAAATGTTCCTTGTGGTATAGCACTTAGCAGGCTTCATTGCAGTTATTTGCTTATTTCCCCATCTTCCTCAGTAGCCTGTATGTTTCATAACGGTAAACATGTCCTTCCTTCCTCCTTCTCTTTTATTCACTCAACAGACATTTATCAATAATCTACTGTCTGTCAGGCACTGTGATAGTCATTAGGGATACAAAGAAAAAACTGGATATGATCTTTATTCTTGCAAACAACAGTAGAGTAGGAGCTGCACACACTACTCAAGTATACCTTAAAACCCTGCTGTAATACTTATAACAAAAGAGAGGTACACACTTCTTCAGAGTTTATCAATCCAAGAAGGTTTAATGTTCTTTTTGGATGTGTGTGAGGTGGGGAGAGGGAAAAAATGCATTCCTGAAGAAGTAATACTTGAGCTGAGCTTTCCTAAAGGAAAAAGTAGGTATTACTATGATGAAAGAAAGGAAGAAAGAGTGTAGAGCCAAAATGTGATAAACAAAGGCTGGGATGGATATGTGGATAATTATTTGAGAAAAGGCTGGAGAACTAGGTAAGATGCCAATTATATAAGTCCTTAAGTGTTTGCTCTTCCTCGAGCAAGGCTAGCTCTTTCCTGTCATTCAGATTTCACCTTAAACAACAACTATTCAAGGGAGGCCTTCCCTAACATCTGAACCTAGTCACTGAAGCTGAAGCCAATTCCTTTTCCTCCTTTGCTAACAAGAATTAAATTAGCCTTCTCTGACACACTGGTGCTTATAGGGATACAGGCTCTAGCCCCGGGGTTGGGGGGGCGGGGGTGGGGGAGGTGTGGGGGGGAGTGAAACCTAATTGGTGTAAGTTGATTATAGTGGTCTCACTACCATTGCTAGGATTGGCTCAAGCATGGGCATGTGACACAGTTCTACCCAATGAGACATAAAAGAAACCTACTATGAGAAAATTTATCTCACTTAAGCAAAAGGAAAAGAGAAGACTTATATACACACACTCCTTTTCCCCCTTCTTTGTCATTGGACATGGTCATGAATGCATGTGGTGCCAAACAGCTGCAGCCATTTTATGACTATGAGAGGAGAAAGATGGACAGCACCTGGATTCTTGATGATGTCTCTGACCACTAAATTAACCAGCCAGAACCACCCTACTTCCAGACTCCTCATCATTTAAATTACCCTTAATTAAATTCAGCTGTTACTTGCAGCTGACAGCATTCATTTTCAGTCATTTAACACATCATTGTAGTTTAATTCTCTGCATTGTATCTATCATCATTTGATTTTTATGTTTTTATTTCCCCACTAAAATGTATGCTCCAAAGAATGCAAAGACTTTGTCTATCTTGTTCACCACTGTATTCCAAGTATTTAGAATGGTGCCAAGTACATAGCAGATGCTCAATAAATATTTATTGAATGAATACATGAGAAAACTCTGAAAGGATTTTATGTCTGTATTGTGTAGGGTCAACAAAAAAGACTCTATTTCTAATGTTTTTTACATTCATTTTACCACACTGTATAAAATTTTAACTTCAAATAGCAACACTGAAAAGAAGGCATTGACAAGACTAAATATTGGGGTTTGTGGAAGTACCTTTGGGGCAGATTTAAAATATGGTCCCAAATTCTTTGACACTATTTTCATAGAAAGGTTGGGGTATATATCTCCTGTCCTTGAATTCAGACTCTGTGACTACTCAAGTAATAGAATATTCCAGGAATGACAGTGTGCCAGTTTCTAGGACCAGGCTTCTTACAAAACTGGCAGCTTCCTCTTCTTATCTCTTATAATGCTTACTGTTGGTACCTAGCCATCATGCCATGAGGAAAACAAATATCCCAAGAAGAGACCCAGTAAAGAGGAAATGAGGCCCCTAGGCTTCAGCTTCAGTAGACATTGTGCTAGCCACAATTTACCAGCCATGTGAGTCAGCCATATTGGGAGTAAATCCACTAGCTCAAGCTGCCCAGTTGGATGATACCACATAGAAGAGAGGTGAGCCTGCTTTCACAAGCACTGCACAAATTGAACACTTATCAGGCAAGGCATGGCGGCTCACACTTACAATCCCAGCACTTTGGGAGGCCAGGGCAGGAGGATCGCTTGAGACCAGGAGTTTGGGACCAGCCTGGGCAACATAGGAAGACCTCATCACTACAAAATTTTTTTAAAAAATTAGCTGGGTGTCGTGGTATATGCCTGTATTCTCAGCTACTCTGGAGGCTGAGGTGGGAGAATAGCTTGAGACCAGGAGTTAGAGGCTGCAATGAGCTAGGATTGTGTCACTGCACTCAGGCCCAGGCAACAGAGCAAGACCCTGTCTCTAAAAAAAAATTTTTTTTTAAAAAACCAAAGCTAAATAATTATTGTGGTTTTTTGTTTGTTTGTTTGTTTTTTGAGACGGAGTCTTGCTCTGTCGCCCAGGCTGGAGTGCAGTGGCACAATCTCGGCTCACCACAAGCTCTGTGTCCTGGGTTCAAGCCATTCTTCTGCCTCAGCCTCCCGAGTAGCTGGGACTACAGGCATGCACCACCACGCCCGGCTAATTTTTTTGTATTTTTAGTAGAGACAGGGTTTCACCATGTTAGCCAGGATGGTCTGGATCTCCTGACTTCGTGATCCGCCCACCTCGGCCTCCCAAAGTACTGGGATTACAGGTTTGAGCCACTGCGCCCGGCCCTACACCACTAGGTTTTCAACAGTGGTTTGTTACGCAGCAACATAAAACTGAAACACCCTTCAACAGAAAAGGGCAGAAAGATGTTTAGAGAAGGACAGCTTAAATTTGATTACAAAGGGGAAACAGTAATGGTAGTTATTAAGTAAGGTAGTCAAAAGACTGGAGAAATAGAAGTGTGGATGAATTACATATTTTGTCATGTGGTAAAAATTCATAGTTAAAAACTGCTTTAAGGTTGCTGAAGCCAGGTGGTGTCACCAAGGCACATATCCGACCACTATTATTACCATGTGATAGCTAATTTTATGTAGATCACAATACCTAGATATTGGGTCAAACATTATTCTAGATGTTTCTGTGAAGGTTTTATTTTATTTATTTATTTAGATAAGATTAACATTTAAATCAGTAGACCTTGAGTAAAGCAGATTACTCTCCATAATGTGAGTAAACCTCATCCAATCAGTTGAAAGCTTCAATTTGAAAAGATTGGCCTCCCCAGGAAAAGACAAAAGTCTGCCAGCAGACTGCCTTTGAACTCAAACTTCAACTCTTCTCTGGGTGTCCTGCCTACCAGCCTACCCTGCAGATTTAGAGCTTCCAATCTTTACAATCATATAAGCCAATTCCTTAAAATAAATCTCTATCTCTCTGTCTCTCAGACATAGTCTATTGGTTCTGTTTCTCTGTAGAACCGTAACTAATAGACACTGCTTCTTTTTGAATAATGCTTTGTAGTTTTCAAAGAATGTTCATGTATATTGTCTTATTATATGCCCACAACCTTGAAAGGTAAGCAGAATGAAAATTTCAAGGATGGTGAAGTTGGGAAAGAATAAAGAATTTTTCCAAAGTCACAAGGCTAAGTAAGTGGTAGAGCCTGGCTAGAACTCATAATCGTCTGATTCCTGGTACCAATTATTTGTACTATATCATCTTGCCTTCTGTATTAACTTTGATACATTCTCATGAATAAAATCTCATGTATCCCTAAAACTCAACAGCAAAAACAAAACCAATTAAAAATGGGCATAGGACTTAAATAGACATTTCTCCAAAGGTATACAAATGGCCAATAAGTACATAAAAATATGTTCAACCATCACTAATCATTCAGGAAATGCAAATCAAAATCACAATGAGATGTCACTTCACATCCATTAGAATGACTATTACAATAAACAAACAAAAACCCCAGAAGGTAAGTGTCGGCTGGTAAGAGTGGAGAGAAATTTGAATCCTTGTGTGCTGCTGGTAGGAATGTAAAATGGTGTATAAAACTGTATAGTAGTCCTTCAAAAAATTAAAATTAGAATTACCATATGATCCAGCAATTCCATTTCTGACTATATAACCAAAAGAACTGAAAGCAGGAACATGAACAGGTATTTGTACACTCATTTATAGTAGCATTATTCATAATAGCTAAAAGGTAGAAGAAACCCAAGTGTCATAGGCAGATGAATGAATTAAAAAAAAATGGAATATTATTTGGCCTTAAAAAGGAAGGAAATTCTGACATGTGCTACAACATAGGTGAACCTTGAAGACATTAATGTTAAGTGAAATAAGCTGCTCAGAAAAGGGCAAATACTGATGATTCCATTCATATGAGGTACTTAGAATAGTCAAATTCATAGAGTTAGAAGAATGGTGGTTGCCAGGGGATAACAGGAAGAGAGAATGGGGCCTTATTGTTTAATGAATAAAGAGTTTCAGTTTTACAAGATGAAGAAAGTTGGGCTGGGCGCAGTGGCTCACACCTGTAATCCCAGCACTTTGGGAGGCCGAGGCAGGTGGATCACGAGGTCAGGAGTTCGAGACCAGCCTGGCCAATATAGCGAAACCCCTTCTCTACTAAAAATACAAAAATTAGCCAGGTGTGGTGGCGTGGTGAGGTTAGCCTCAGGAGGCTAAGGCAGAAGAACTGCTTGAACCCAGGAGGTGGAGGTTGCAGTGAGCCAAGATCATGCCACTCCACTCCAGCCTGGGCGACACAGTGAGACTCCATCTCAAAAAAAACAAAAAAAAAGATGAAGAAAGTTCTGGAGATAGATGATGGTAATGGTTGCGCAACAATGTGAATCTCTTTAATGGCCCTGAATAGTACACTTAAAATGATTAAACTGGTAAATTTTATGTCATGTATATTTTACCACAATTAAAAATAAAATTTAAACTTCCCCCCAAAACAAAAACAAACAAACAAAAAACCAAAAACTTTATCTAGCCTTTAATACATGGGCTGGATTGCATTTTCAAAGTGATTTTTCAACACTACTTATATGAAATTTTTAACCTCTCACTTTTCTCTAATACCACTGGGGATTTTTATTTTTATTTATTTTCTTTCTTTTTAAAATTTTATTTCTTCTAAGAAAACAACAGGATACATGTGCAGAATGTGCAGCTGTGTTACATAGGTATATGTGTGCCATGATGGTTTGCTGCACCTATTGACCCATCCCATAAGTTCCCCGCCCCTCAACTCCCACCAACCAACAGGCCCTGGTGTGTGTTGTTCACTAATGGGGATTTTTAAAGTTACTTGTTTCTTTTCTGGCTATTCTCATTCACTCATTCATTCATTCATTCACTCACTCATTCATTCATTTATTCAATCAGACAGTCAGGTGTTAGTCCATAAATACTATTGCCTACTATGTTCCAAGCACTACGGAAACTGCAGTGAATGAGGCATATGCAGTCCCTGTGTTAATAGAGATTACATTCTATTGGGGAAGACAGAAAACAATAAACTCAATAGAGAGAAGGAGGAGGAAGATAATAAATGTGATGAAGAAGAGGGGTAGGGAGAGGAGGAAGAAGAGGAAAAGATGAAGAAAGGAACAAAGCAAGATAAGGAACAGGACTTAACTGGAAGGAGGGGACTATTTTAGATGCCCTATATATCATGCCTTCCTCTACCTAATGGGCAAAGGACACCTATAATTCACAAATAAAAGGCTTCAATCTGCAAACAGTAAATTCAATAACAGAACACTGGGCCTCAGAGCTTATACTCTACTGGGAAGAGGGTGAAGAATTTACAAAAATTATGCTTGATAGCTACTAAGTCTAATTCTATAGAAAATGTGCCTGTGTAGACATAAGCAAGGCTTACTAACAAGACTCCCAACATTATGAAAATTTTAGCTTTGCTTTAACCAAGAAATTTAAAGAGTAAACAGCCATCTTGTTAGTAGGAAAAAGACTTTATGACTTAAAATATTATTTAACTTAGCATCCTTTGGTCAAAAACAAAGGCACCCATTTCAGCCCTAGAGAGTATGATTCTCCCCATAATCAATGGGAAAGGAAGGCCATGCATTTTCAATAATGGAGATGAAATTCAATTTGATTCACAATAGTCCATGCAGATTTTTCCCCCAAGTTATTTTTACATGAAGGCATGCTTGAAAAATTTCAGCCCAGATTTAGGTTTAAGTTCCCAGACTTAGTAAGTAATTGCTGCAGTAATGAGTTCTATGTCTTAATTTAGTCTGCTCCAGATGTTAACATCTAGATTGTTTGTTTTTCATTCTCCACCCCTCTGCATTTCCTTATACAACAGCACATTTTTCTGAAATTTTAAATATGGGAGGGTGGTACAAGAGAGCAGGAAGAAATAGGGTGAGCAAGAAATCTAGGGTCTCATCTGCTATGCCAATCAGACCAACTTTTTTGCTAGAGTAAGCTGAGGGAAGACCAGTTTTCACCTTCATAGAAGCCATATTGGCCTTCCTGTATTTGCAGGAGGGTGTAGTCCTGAAGAAGAATATGCATTCAGGGCTGACAGTGTGCTTCCTCCAAGGCAAGGTACTATGTTGGTGGCCCTCTTTAAGTGGGAAATAAAAACTCTGTGGCAGAGTTGGCTATGCTGTACTACGAATCAACTAACTCCCTTCCCCCCAATATTTATTGAAACAAGGGAATGAACCCCATCCTATAAACTAGCACAACTGAGTAACAGGAAAAACTTGGCTTATACATCCAAGCTAATAAAGTAATACACTGATAGTGTATATTAATAAGAACCTGCATTTTAGACCCAGCTGGTGAGCAGCTGCATAGCAGCTGGAAATTTGGGATTGTTCTCCAACAGATAAGAGAGACCTTGCTCAAGGGCAGTGGTTCTCAAATTTTAGTGTGCATGGAATCAGCTAGAGTACCTGCTAAAAATGCAAATTCCACAGCCACAGGTCTAATAATTGTGAGCCAGGAGATCTGGGTAGACCCTAGAAGTCTACTTTTTAATAAGCAGCCTCAGGTGATTCTGATGCAGGTGATAGAAAACCACATTTTGAGAAGTACTGCTCCTCAGAGCTACTAAGATCATCATTCAAGATCTTTATAGCTAAATAAATAAATAAATAGACTTTCAACCGATCTTTCTGCTTAGTTTTTGACAGGCGAGTCCAATCCACAGCTGGTAAAGAGGTTGGATAATGACCGCTGATAGGTTTGATCCCTTGGGATAGAATACTTAAAGTGGTTTGGGGACCTCTGTTTCTCCCCCATCAATAAAGTGGTTGGAAGGCAGCCACAGTCTGGGCTAGAAATCCAGCTGGCACAATACTTGGAAGACAATCCTCAGTGAGGTCTGGGTTCAATATCTAACTGCTAAAGAGGTTGGCTGTCCGCCTTGTGGTGTTCAGTCAATCTCCAATTGATATAATGCTTTGATAACATATGAGCAGCATGGGTTAAATCCAGAAACTGTAAAGGACTTAGATAAAAGTCCTAAGACCTAAAGTTTGGTCTCCAAATGTCACGAAGCTTGGAATATATTTGGGAATGAGTTTAATCCTCAAATGGTAAGAGTTTTGGATGTCAGGAATGAGGTCTGGGTTCAATCTCTTGTCATTAAAATGCTTGGAAGACGCTTGGGGTCTGGTTTCAATCGTCAAATAGTAAAGAGTTCAAATGACAACAATGGTTTCTAGGTTCAAGTGAAAGCTGACAAACAGCTTGAAATAAACTGCAAGATCTGGGTTCAATCTTGAAATGTTAAGGGTTTAGATAATTGTCATGAGAAATGAGTTCAGTTTGGAGGATTCTAAAAGTCTAGGTGAGGTAGCTAAGAATCTGCACCAGATTAGAGACAACTTGTGGTCAGGATCCACGTGGGAAAGGATTTAGATAACGACCACTCTTTTCAGATTAGGAGACAGAGAAGGTGACCAGATACCACTGATCCAGTGCAATGTATTTAGATAATAAAAAAAGGAGCTTGAATTCCAGCCATGGGGGTAAGAAATGTGTATATTAGGTGGTAAGAAAATGTGTATACTAGGTCATGAGCTAATTTTGCAAGAGAATATTATGTGACTTCTCCATATCCACAATTATGAAGAGGGATACAGGCAGCAAGCCTGGGAATGTGATTCCTGAAATAATGGAGCTCTTTTGCCAGGAGTTTTGCTGACAGAACGGCTGTTTTATATGGCTAAGCGAGCAGATGTCTGAAAAGCACTGAAATCTATGATGTGTGTTCCTAAGTGGGATGACAGCTGGCACCACTGCATAAAATCTTGTTCTTACTTTTACAGTTTCACTAATACTCTTCTTTCTGATTATTCTGATTTATCAACAAACAGCATTTTCTGGAACCTTTTAAAAGCATTCTCAAATAGTTAAGAATTAGACAGTTCTCCAAACACCTAACAATCCACAAGAATTTTAGAGACACAAAAATGGAATTGGATTCCTTGGGGAAGAAGCAAAAACCCAGCCATGACTACCAACTACTTTTCTTCCTGAATATCTTATTCTTTGACCTGACAATCCAAGGTGAATCCAAAAAAGATGGCCTCACTAAAGGATTGGTTTAGAGCATAGATACATGTGCCAAAGTCTTCTGTGCTTCTTGAATCTGAGCATGTTCTGAGGAATACCTTTTAAGGAATAACCATGCTTCAGACTTCTGGACTATATTAGGGATTTGTTTTAAAACATTACTATCAAAATGATATTGTTATTAATAGGTAACATTCATTGAGCACTTATGTCAGATACTGTACCAAACATTTTACATGTACTACACTAGTTCATTTAATACTTAACATAATCCTATAAAGTATGTCTTGTTATTATCTTTATTTTACCAATGGGGAAACTGAGACACAGATGTTATGCAAGTTACTTAATGTTGTAGAGACACTGCTATGTTCGTCACATCACCTTTTTCTAGGCACAGAGACTACATTTCCCAACATCCATTGCACAAGTTGTAATCATGTGATTAAATTCATCCAAGGGGAAGCATGTTTAGAAGTGATAGAAACCACTTTTGAGCCTAGACCTTTAAAACATCTGGTACAATCCTCAGGTTTTTTGTAACCCTGCCAAAAATGAGCTTAGAGACCAGTGTTTCAGATGACATAACAAAATGAAGGAGGTATGCCTAACATGCCTCAATCAGACTTTAAGCAAGAAATAAATCTCAGTTGCGTTAAGGTATTTTACCAAATACCCTTAAAATTTTAAAGGTACCAAATACCTTTAAAATGCTACTGATTGCATATGCACTGTCATTTTACATATCACTAAGAAAGAAAAAAAAGTTGCCAAATAAACAATAACACCCAACTGATTGTAAAACACACCTTTATTTCAGAGATGCCAAATTGTGAAGAAATGACAAGACTTATAGCTTCCTTACTATAAGGACTCAGAAGACAATTTCAGGAAGTTCTGACTTGTTAAAGATGGGACAAAATAAGCTTCAAAATGATAACTGCAATTGATTGAGACCCATGAAATATACTAATTCCATTAATCCATTAGTGATACTTTAAAAACTAATTGGTGACATCTGCAAGATGATAGAGAACCAATTCATTATCTTGAAAATATGGTAAATAAGGAAAAAGAATCAAAGATTTATTCTAGTTTTCCTGTACTAACTGCACCACTGAGTAGCCAGTAAATGAGGGGAAGCAGGTTTGCATAAAAGTATTATGACCATTTAAAAGAACTGATAGAATATCACCATTTTGCAACATCCAATGAATTAATGCATTTGTACACTCAGCATCAATAGCTGCTAACACCATAAAAAAAAGAGGAGCAAGTAGAAATAATGTCCCTCATGGTGAAAAATCTCAAAATCACATGTAGAGTTACCCAGAGGTTCTCAAAGTGTAGTCTAAGAATCCTGGATCCCTTTAGGAGATCTGTGAGGTCCTTACATTTCCAGCTACATATCTGTATGAGGGCAGGTTTTCTTCATATACTTCAAATAAAAGAACACAATGCAACAGATTGAATGTAAAAGCAGATATGATAATCCAGCTGTCTTCTATTAGGCCAGGCTTTAAAAAGATTTGCAAAAATGTAAAACAATGTCATTCTTCTCACCAGGCTTTTTTTTTTGTTTTGCAAAATATAGTTACTTATGATTTCAAAAATTTATATTAGCATGTAATTAGTTTATATTGTTATTTTAAAATGAATTACTACATAAATATTTTTAAATTTCTCTATCTTAATTTCTAATATGGCAAATATTGGTAAGCATGACCCACATAAACAAATGCTTTTGGCGGGGGAAGGGGGTGGTCTTGAAGAAATAAAAGAGGATTATTTCTCAAACTAAAATGTTTGAGAATTGTTGGTCTTGCCAAAGAGATGGAACCTGACTGTGTCCCTGAAGCTGGTTGCCAATTTTCAGGAAATACAGAGGACAGATGAACATGTTGATCTGCAACATATTAGTAAGTACCTAATCAGCAAAATTCAGACTGTAAAACACTTTACAGGTCAAATGCCCTGAATTCTTCCACAAGCAAACTGTAAGAAACAGAAAAGGATAGAAAAATAGCTTATATTTGAAGACACTTCAAAAACATGAAATTTATACACACACAAAAATGAACAAGACAAAACTACAGTATCTAGGAATGCACCCTTGGTTAATAAAAAATATTTAAAGATACAAGAAAGTGATTGCTGTCATGGTTACTTTGGAGGTAGGGAGAGGGTTAATTGGGGCAATGCACAGAGGGGACTCAAGGTGATTTAAAAAATTCTCTTGACCTAAGTGCTGGTTATAAAGGTATTTACCTTATAATAACTTATCAAGCCATAAAGAGTTCTTAGTACTCAATAAAATATGGCAAGTTATGGAGTCACTTAATCCTGCCAAGTACAGGAATGAGTCCAAAGCCTGTATGCTTAACCATTATACAATATTATTGGATGTGTTACAGCTTGAAGAGACCATTCTTCAGTCACATATTTTAAAAAGATGATACTAGCTATATGCCTCTCAAGTTCTTGTGTCTGTAACTCTCTAATTGTGGGTCATGGGTCCTCACACCTTTTCTTTGGAATTGTCAAATAAAATTTATGGGAGGCCATTGTTTTGGACTGAGCTCCTGCACTAGACCCCCAACAAATCAAACCAAACCAGAATGGAGTCACTCATGCTAGGTGCCATGTAATCAAACTGAACTCGAAGACAGGACAGTATTTCTAAAAACAGGAGATTTACAGCAATCGATCAAAAGGGGCCTAGTCAACATGAGCCAGCATGATAAGAAACTCCTCTCTGCTTCAATCCATACAAGGAAAGTAATTTTGAAATCAGCAATATGCTTTTTGTTTCTGATTTCTACTTTATTCAGCCTTTCCTACAAATAAAGCTCACTCCCTCTGCTTAGCTCTGCAGAACATCTTTCTATTTCATAGATGAGGTGTTGTCTCATTCGTGAATTGCTGATAAAAGCCAATTAGACCTTTAAAACTCAATTCGTTGAAATTTTGCTCTTAGAGTCTAAAACCACCTTTGAAAATAAAGTGTTTCACATGGTTATTTAGTAACCTGAGTTATAAAGTAATTTCCTGCCTCCTTCAGACCCTTCAAATACCCCATGCAAATCTCTAGCACAGAACCCAGAATGCTTTATTGTCTTTATCCATTTACATATCTGCCTCCTTGAAGGAGATTGACAAAAAGTAGGTTCTCAGGAAAGCAATTACATCATGAATCTAACAAGCTTTAAAGTAACTTCTGATAAAAAAAATTGTTACAAGGTTTATGCAGTTATGGAATCTGTCTTAGCAAGTCTGAAATGTGTAGAACAGGTCATGAGTAAGGACAGACTGGAATTCATGAGCATGAACTGAAGCTGCTGACCATAAGAATTTATTCTCTGGGGAAGCCTCAACCTTGCTTTAAAGGGCTTTTGACTGATTAAATTAGGCCTACCTAAATTATGTAGGATAATCTTTCATAAATAAACTATGGGCCAGACACAGTGGCTCACACCTGTAATCCCAGCACTTTCGGAGGCCAAGGCAGGTGGATCATGAGGTCAGGAGTTCAAGCCCAGCCTGGCCAACATGGAGAAACCCCGTCTCTACTAAAAATACAAAAATTAGCTGGGCATGGTGGCGTATGCCTGTAATCCCAGCTACTCGGGAGGCTGAGGAGGGAGAATTGCTTGAACTGGGACCCGGGAGGCAGAGGTAGCAGTGAGCTGAGACGGTGCCACTGCACTCTAGCCTGGGCAACAGAGCGAGACTCTGTCTCAAAAACAAACAAACAAACAAATAAATAAATAAACTGATTATAATCTTTAATCACATGTAAAAAACATCTTCATAGCAATACCTAGATTGGATTGTGATTAAATAGCTGAGGACTTTAACCTATTCAAGTTGACACATCAGAAATACCATCACAGTATAAGAGAGAATAATCATTAATACTCATAGTTTGAAACAGCAACATCAAGAAATGTATGCATTATTTTTAGTTAGTGGTGACCCAAAAGATTTTGTGTGGAGAGACTTAGAGGCAGTAAACTAATTAGAATGGGAGCTTAAACAGCATTTATAGTGTACTTTATATAAGGTAGAAAAATGACAGTTGTCTATTTCAAAGAATGGGGCAGGCATCAGAAAAATATGGAAGGTGCTAAAGTTGCCATCTAATTTCACCCCTTGGAACTATTACTGTTTTCTATTTTCTATGTATAGGAAACAAAGATCAAATTTAGAACAAATACCAAAATCAGGATTGTGGTTACCTCAGGAGAGAGAAGAAATGGGATCTAAGAGGAATACAAAGAAACCTCCGGCCGGGCGTGGTGGCTCACGCCTGTAATCCCAGCACTTTGGGAGGCCGAGGCGGGCGGATCACGAGGTCAGCAGATCGAGACCATTCTGCCTAACACGGTGAAACTCCGTCTCTACTAAAAATAAAAAAAATTAGCCGGGCGTGGTGGCGGGCGCCTGCAGTCCCAGCTGCTGGGGAGGCTGAGGCAGCAGAATGGCGTGAACCCAAGAGGCGGAGCTTACAGTGAGCCGAGATCGTGCCACTGCACTCCAGCCTGGGCGACAGAGCGAGACTCCATCTCAAAAAAAAAAAAAGAAACCTCCAAGTATATCTGTGCGGTTTTGCTTAAAAATTTTTGAAACAAACTTGATAAAATACTAATGTAAGAGAAACCAGAGTAATAGATACATGAATATTCATTATACTATTTTCTACATTATTCTGCATGCTTGAAATATTTAGAAAAGTATATGACATATTTCAGACAAATTTCTATCAAATGCATTTGAAACTGCCCCTAACATAGCAAGCTGGGAGTATTTCCTCTCTCTAATCTCCTATAGTGGTTTGTTTCTCTCACCTATGGCTCAAATCCTCTTGTGACTTGTGAATCAGGCAGACCTGTGTTTAAATCCCAACTCCACAGCTTACTGGTTGTATAACCATAGACAAATTAATTTATCTCTTTGAACCTCAGTCACCTAATCTGTAAGATGTAGATAATAGTATGTATCTCACCTGCTTATTGTAAAGATTGACTATATTAAATATAATAATAATGTACAGAGAGCCTGGCACATAGCTGAATGCATTATATTATTTCTATCTGTGATATAATTATCTTTTCACATTTTAATCTCTTTCAGAGAATAATCCAGGCCTGATTCATTTTTTTTTTTTTTAGATGGGGTCTCATCATATTGCCCAAGCTGGTCTCAAACTACTGGGCTCAATTGATCCCCCTGCATCAGTCCCCCGAGTAGCTGTGATTACAGGCATGCACCACCATGCCTGGCTAATTTTTTAACTTTTTTTTTTTTTTAGAGATGGGGTCTCACTATGCTGCCCAGGGTGGTCCTGAACTCCTGGCTTCAAGCAATCCTCCCACTTTGGCCTCCCAGTATGCTGGGATTACAGGCGTAAGCCACTACACCTGGCCTGATTCATTTTTATATTCCTCACATCACTAGCACAGTGCTAGGTGTTCAAATGATTACAAAGGAATGTGGGAAGTTGTCCATTTCCCCATCTTATCCATGCTACTGGCCTCCTGTGCTCTCAGCTGACCTCTAGGAGGCAGTTCTCCTGACAATGCACATATAGGCTCATCTGTAGATCCTGTGAACAGTCTTCACAGGGTTATGGGAGGTTAGAAAGTTATGATCTAGTACAAATTTAAAATTCATAAACCATCTAGAGAAGTTAATATAAAACTGTAATAGATCAGTTCTAGAAATAGGCCAGCAAAGAGTATGTGATTCACATTTTACTACAGTATGTCTTTACTAATGTAGGTAATGAGCCATATAAAGAAAATTTACTTCATTCATCTAGACATAATTAAAATACGGAAACTTTATAAATTAAAGTCCAAATCTACAGCCATGCAACACTAAGGCTGAAAATTTAAATGCATAAGTTAGGAGAGATCATTTTTTCATATTATTAATGACCGGTAACCAAACCTACATAGCATTGCTGTTGCATATGATATTGGCTATGAGGCTCTGAACTCCTATCAGATTCAAACCCTTACCGAAGCCTCCCCAATACTCTGTTTTTGAAATGTAAGATGGAGATTAGGCAAAGAAATATATTGTAGAAAGGTGAATAATACTTTTGTAATCATGAATTAAATTCATCATTCATTCACTAAGTACAAGAGAACATCAACAATGTTTAAGACAACATATTAAATTAAAGAAAGGGGATACAAAGATAACCAGTCCTCCAAATCCTCACAATTTAGTAGGAGAAATAGGAGATACACATAAATAGTTAGAATAAAAGGTACACAGGTCAAGTGACCAAGCCTGATTCATTTTTATATTCCTCACAGGAACACAGTGCTAGGTGTTCAAATGATTATAAAGGAATGTGGGAAGATGTTTTTTCCCTATGTTATCCGTGCTATTGACCTCCTGAGTTCTCAGATGACCTCTATAAGGCAGAGCTCTCCTGACAATGCACATATGGGCACATCTGTGGATCCCATAAATGGTAAAGCGTAGGGAAAGTGCTACCAGGATTCACAAAAAGAAAGGCTTAGATTCAAATGGAGGAGAGAGTGATGATGATAAACAAAAATTTCCAAGAGTGGCATTTAAGATAATCTTTGAGAAGCATAAATGGGAGAAACATTACATGTAACAATATTTTACAAAACATTTATAAATATACATTCTTATTTAAACCTTATGACAATCATTTAATTGGATTTTTCTTTTTTGCAAATATGGACATTAGGACTTAGAGAAATTCAGTGACTTGTCCAAGGCCTTATAGTTGGTGATTTTGAACTCAAGTTGTCTTGTTTTATGTCCATTGTTCATTTCAGTAAATGAACTATTTTTTAATTAAGAAATCCTCATGAGTATCAGTATGGGGCAGAAAATTACAGGATCTTTTGAGGAAAAGTGAATTAATAGTTCAGCTGGGCGGGATTATATGGTAGATAAAGGAGAAGAGTATGAAAAATTGTTGGAAATAGGCAGGGGTAGATGGCAGAAGGTCTAGAAGAGCAACCTATTAAATTTGGACTCCATCCGTAGATGTTAAAAAGTTTTGAACAGAGGAATGCCTTGAAGTCTGAAAGTATGAAGAAAGAATAAATCTGACAGCACAGTGGAAAACTGATAGGAGAGATGATAGGCTAGAAGCAGAGACAGCAGTTGGGAGCTATTTCAATATTGCAGAAGAGAGATAATAAGGGCTTCGACTAGGGTGATGACAGTGGGAACAGAGAAGACAGCAGGGAAGCGGGAAAAGCAGAGATAGACTCCGCAGGGCTTGAAAACTGATTGGATTGGGAAGAGACAAAAAATGAGGAGGGATTCAGAGATGATTCCAAATTCTCATGCCTTAGTGGCTCAGAGGAGTATAGCGTCATCAGCTGAAACATGAAATGGAGAAGAAAAGAATGGGAAGAAAATAAGTCAAGTTTTAGTCATACCAAGATACATGAAAATGATATAAAGAAATTAGCATTTTTAGCCTGGAACTAAAAAAATAAAAGCAAGTCATGTTAGCCAGATTTTACTATTTAAAGGACTGTCACTTTTAGAGAGAAAAAAGTTTTAATTTACCATACACAGCATTGGATTATTCACAATTCTTGGTTCATGACATACTGTAATTATTGTTTGGTTAACTAATTAACACTTATGAACTTAAAACTCGACAGAAGAACTATAATAGGTACAGCTGGGTTTGGTGGCTCACATGGGAGGCCAAGGGGGGCGAATCACTTGAAGCCAGGAGTTGGAGACTGGCCTGGCCAACATGGAGAAACCCCATCTCTACTAAAAATACAAATATTAGCTAAGCCTGGTAGTGCAGGCCTGTAATCATGGCTACTTGGGAGGCTGAGGCATGAGAATCGCTTGAACCCTGGAGGCGGAGGTTACAGTGAACCGAGATCACACCACTGCATCCAGCCTGGGCGGCAGAGCAAGAGACGCTGTCTCAACAACAAAAACAACTATAATACTTACAATAGCACACATTTACCTATATGGTTCTTCCACATTCCTTCACTCCACCTCTCTGATAGTTGTTATTCAGAGGCCACTATTATCCCAGTCCTTTAGGATTCCTTTGGTGTTTTTAAAAAATACAGTTTGATCATACCTATGTTCCTAAAATAAACATTTTTAAGCTTTATTTGTATTTAGCTTTATTAAAAAAAGGTATCTTGACTTTTTAACCCTCACACTGTAAGTAATCTTCCGGAACTTAACTTTTTCACTCAATAGTATTGCTAAAATTCATCCTTACTTCTATGTAGCTATAATGCATCTTTGGAATCCTATTAGTCTTGCCCCCAGAAATGTGGTTGTGAGTGAAAAGGGGCAGCAATCACTTCATCTGAGTATATTCTCCGTGAAGATGCCTTTTCAATAATTTTACTGTATATGCTAACATGAGAGTTGTTAAGGATGTAACAAAAAGTACATTATCTTCCCCCAGTGGAATGTAAATTTCATGACTTTCTGCAGGGATTACAATTCCTTGTAATTTTTTTTTTTTTTTTGAGACGAAGTCTTGCTCTGTCACCCAGGCTGGAGTGCAGTGGCACGATCTCAACTCGCTGCAACTTCTGCCTCCCGGGTTCAAGCAATTCTCCTGCCTCAGCCTCCAGAGTAGCTGGGACTACAGGCGTGTGCCACCACGCCCAGCTAAGTTTTGTATTTTTTAGTAGAGACGGGGTTTCACCATGTTAGCCAGGATGGTCTCGATCTCCTGACCTCGTGATCCGCCTGCCTCAGCCTCCCAAAGTGCAGGGATTACAGGCGTGCCACCGCACCCGGCCCAGACACTCAATAAATTTATTGAGTAAATACAGTACATTCTATAAGTTTGGACAATTGTATAATGACATGCATCCACTATTGTAATTTCTTGAGTATCTGTTATGAGCCAGATAAGGAGATACAGCAGTATATGTTGAAGTATATGTAGAACATCAGTGGTCTAAAGACAGAGTAGGTCTTCAGAAGATACTATCTTTTTATATGTGTGCTTTACCTAGTAGTGACAACATAATGCAGGCTCCAAGCTTGTCATGGCTACATGGTCTCTGCCACAAGTTACTATTACAAGGGGGCAGCATCCAGTTGGTTGAACTGGTTTTGGTAGAGTTTGCCAATCTGTCATGTCAATGATGTAAAGTTGAATTCATTGAGCTTTAATATCACTTCTTTTGATTTTTTTTTTTACTAGTTCTTCTTTTTTGTTTTTAAGTGTCTTTAAAAAAAAAAAAAAAGCAGTTTTGGACCCACAGCAAAATAGAGAGCAAGTTCCACAGATTTCCTATATATGCCCTGTCCCTGCACATGCATAGTCTCCTCTGTTACCAGCATCTCCCACCAGAGTGGTACATTTCTTCTGATGAACCTACATTGATTATCATTGTCACCCAAAGTCCATGGTTTACCTTAGGGTTCACTCTTCGTGTAGTACATTCTGTAAGTTTGGAAAACTGTATAATGACATGCATCTACTATTATAATCTAATATAGAATATTTCCTCTTCCCTAAAAGTCCTCTGTTCACCACCCACTTGTCACTCCCTCCCACCCTAACCCTTGGCAACCACTGTCTTTTTACTGTCTCCATACTTTTGCCTTTTCCAGAATGCCATAAATCATATGGTATGCAGTCTTTTCACACAGGCTTCTTTCACTCAGTAGTATACATTTATGTTTCCTCCATTCTTTTCGTGGCTTGATAGCTCACTTCTTATTTTTTTAATTTAACTTCTAAGTTCAGGGGTACATATTCACGTTTGTTATACAGGTAAACTGTGTCATGGGGGTTTGTGATACAGATTATTTCATCACCCGGGTATTAAGCCTACTACCCATTAGTTATTTTTCCTGATACTCTTCCTCCTCCTCCTCCCACCCTCCACCCTCCGATAGGCCCCAGTGTCTGTTGTTTCCCTCTATGTGTCCATGCGTTCTCATCATTTAGCTCCCACTTATAAGTGAAAACATGCAGTATTTGGTTCTCTGTTCCTATGTTAGTTTCCTAAGGTTAATAGTTTAAATAAGTTAAAGTCTCAAACTTAAAATTCTAGATTGGGGTATACAGGAAATGGTTGGTATTAGGATAATCCAATATAGAACACAATATATTATTGCAAAATTGGAGGGAAACAATGATATACTTAATTCAAAAGACATTTGTATTTGGCTTTAGAATTTGGGCACTTATGTTTGAAAACAGAGATGTTTGGAAACTATATAAAATTTCAATAATTAAGCTACAACATAAAGACTATGGAAAAATAAATGAAAAGTTCTTCAAATTCCCTAACCTACTTCCTGCTAAAATCTATTCCCACTCCTACACTCACTGTTGAAAGTAGACATAACATCACCTCTCATGAAAAAACCAGCATTTTACAACAAATCTACAAACAATAAATCTTCCTTTCTCTCTAAATGGCTCTATTTGTGCACTGCTCCTTCCCCAGGTTGGGGAAAGGTTATTGAAATATTTTGGTTCCAAAGCTTCCAAATGATGGGCTTACTGCCTGGTGAACAAAAGCAATAAAATTCTGACTCTTCTGACTTAATTTTAGATACATATATATCTTCCATTTAAAAAAACTTTTAAGAAACTGTTGATATATTGCTTCAATTCTAATTCTGATTAAAGACTGATTCTCTTTCATTCCTAGGATGGTAGTTTCATTGTAAAACAGGAATTCCCTGATGCTTCTGGAGAGTTACCCAGTGGCAGGGGGCTTATTTATATGAAGCAATATTGAACGTGATTCTACTTCTAAGCTATGTGGCCTTGGGCAAGTCACTTACCCTCTCTGGGCCTAAGTTTCCTCACCAGCAAACTGAGGAAGTGGAGTACATGATCTCTGAGGTCTCTTCCAGCTTTGGTATTTTCTGAATTGATTAGTATAAAATATGGGAAGAGGAGCTTCCTCAGAAGGGATGTGCTTTGTCGGAAGGCATCCGTAAGATTAAAGCTTCCAGAAAGAACAACTGGCTATGCGAGGAGTGGTCAGTCTTTAGACTCCAAGAATCTTCATTTAGAGGTTCTTACATTTTGGGGTGTTAGGTCATGCTTAAGTTTATATTATTCATATTCTTATGTGATTTTGATAATTATTTAAATGATACTAGTATGTCCAACCATAATTTCTTGGAACTAGACAGTACATTGAAGAATTTGGACCTTTGTCAATATTTGATCTGTGCACAGGAAAGTTTCAGAGACAAAGATAGAGAAATATTATTGAAATTAAAAGTTAGTGCCATGGATTAGTAGTAATCATAAATTTGACATACTTGAACCCATGTCCACACCAGGTTATCAATCAGCCATATGGCCTTAGGAAAGTCGCTTAGCCTCTCTGAACTTCAGCATGTAATTTTAATGATAGCTCTCACATATTAAATATAAACTATGTTCTAGGCATTATGTTGGTTTATATTACATACACGTTTCTAATATTTAAACTTTATAACACATCCTGAGAAACAGGTAGCAGTATTCCCATTTTACAGATAAGAAATCTGAAGCTCAAAGTAGTGACATTCATTGAGAACACCAAAATTCTAACCTTGGTATTCTGATTGAAAATCCCAACCTCCTTCAAGTGCGCTCTTCCATTAGCAAATTATATCAAATCAAGAATATTTATTTCTATTATGTGCAGAGTAAGGCAGCTGTTAAATGCCATTAAGATGTTAATTTCCTGGCTGAAGACATTGCCAAATGTGACACAAATAAAATGAAGGCAACTCCTAAAGTTGTAACTTGGAGGAGAAAGGAAGTTAAGCATTGGCTAGGAACAAGAAAGGGAAGATAATTCTAGGCAAATTGCCTCTGCCTGGGAGCTAGACAGGAATGAGAGAGTTGGTGAAAGAAATAAAAGCTATTTGTGAAACTAAGTTAGGAACATGGGGTAAGAGCAGGAAAGCCTATTCCTTGACTCCTCTCACCCCACTCAAATCAAGGCTGTAGTGCTGGAGGATAGGTGAGCAGCCAAAAAGATGTCTTCCAATATTAGTTTCTCAACTAGTTTATACTGTTTGTTACAGGTGGTTGGTAGCAGTGATGACATCCTTGATGGTGTCTGTCTCTCCTATATAGACCTTTCTTTTGAGCATTGGATCTATATAGCAAATCACAAAGTTTTTGGTTAAAAGACCAACATGTGAGTATAAAGTAATGGGCAAATTTTCATGAGAGAATCATAACCTCTACAGGCCATTTGAAGGAGCCATTCTAAAAATGTTATGAGCAATGGCAGCATTTTATATTTTCCATGGTGACCACTTTGTGGAACAATCCTCAATTGGATGCATAAATCCTGTTCTTAGTTCACTTGTCTTGTTTTGTTTGTAAGTGAGCCTTATTACTTTCCAGTCACACCTGGTGTGTGTCTCTGATGTGGCTGGGAGCAGGCTGGACAGGGGACTTCCCGTCTACTCTCCAGTGTGTCCTGACCAGTGCACAGGTGTGTCATGGACTAAAATAAGGTTGGGAACTGGGTAATTTGCAGGCTGAAGGCAGCTGGAGTCTTTAGAGCACAAGCTCCTACTGACTGTCTTGGGACTGCTCAGTAAAGGAATGAGAGCTTTTAATTACCAGTAGTGGTGTCTCCCAACCAATAGGAATTCTTTTCCATTCCAAGTATTTTCCCCTTGAACAGATGCAGAATAAGGGGCCTTGGGCCTGGCATGTGGTGTGGGATTTCTGTTTCCTATCAAGCAAGATAACTTTACAGATTCTCTTTACAGCTAGAGTTTATTCACCATCAGATGAGTTTTTGTCATGACTGATTCTTCAGGGGAATATGATATTATTATAAACTTACTGATTTTGTCTTTATACAACTTAACAAGAAAATAAGCTGGATCAAAAGCCTATACCAGCTTTTGAGAGTTTTTTTAAAAGATAGAAGTCAAAATTGAAATTTTTGATAACTATGTCATGCCCTGCCTGCCTACTTCCTGAGATTATTATTCAGATCTATTTATATGAAAGTGCTTTGAAAAGCAAAATACTCTATTTGGATCCAACATACAATTACTTGACTGTGAAGAAAATTAAACCTGGGTTTTGAAGTTTGTGATCAGATGAAAAAGAACTTAAAAAATACAGCACAAGGCTGTAGTGAGTATGCTGAGCATGGAAACATGCTTTGCTACATATCTCCTCTGCACCCATTTTTCTCCTTGTTGTTGAGGCAACCCAGGAGTACGGTAGCATCTGCTGGAGCTCTCTCTGGAATAAATGATGCACAGTTCAAACAACTTCATCATTAATGAAAAAGCTTTCAATAAAACCTAAAAATTCAAAAAGTTACTGAGACTCAAGCCAACAAACAAAGAAGCATATTTAAACAAACAAATAAACAAATGCTTCTTTTAAATGAGCTTTACTAAGACAGCTGCCAAAATGCTATGACACATTGTTTTCTCTTCTTTTTTAGATACAGGGTCTTAATATGTTGCCCAAGTTAGTTTCAAACTCCTGGGCTCAAGGAATATTCTTGCCTCAGCCTTCCAAGTAGCTGGGACTACAGGTACACATCACTGTGCCCGGCTCTGACACATTGTTTCCAATGACAGAGTTCACACTTAAAGTCCAGGAGACAAATTCCACAAAATTATTCTGTGCAAATCAGAGGGTGTGTATATGCAGAGGTAAAATGACGTCATGATCTCAGAGAAGTTTCAAGCAAACATCAACTACAGAGGAAGAGTACTGATGGGTGAAGTTAACCCAAGCTATCCTGGCATTGTCTGGCACAGTCATCTCTTCAGTTCACCATTTACCTTCAGATTCAATAACAACATTTGACAGAAGATACAAACTCAGAATTAGTAAGAGGTTTGCCAGAGCTATATGAATGCTGCATAAAGAGTAGAGTCTATGTCCCCTTGCCTTTCCATCAGAGATGGCTCATACTGCCTCTCAAAAATATATCTGGTAACTCATTTAATTCTAATCGTAATAGTAGCTACCATTTATTGAACACCTGTTATGCATCAGGAATTTGCCGAGTGCTTCATATGGTCGCATTTAATGTCTGTAACAACCCTAAAAGTATTATTATCCTCATTTGATAGAGAAGGGAATTAACGCTAGAGAGGTTACACAGGTAATAAGTGGTTGAGCTGGAATTGAACTCAAATTTGCCTAACACTGAAGCCTATGGTTTTGACCACTACCCCAGGCATGGCTATTGTATTTTACTTTATGTGCCAATTTGCGTGGATTAGAAATACATTTCTCTATTCTTAGGCAAAGTGTAAATTCAGTGGGAAAAAGAATCATGATAGCTTATTGATGTCTGCTATGGCAAGGGATGGAAAAATGGTAGTGGTGATACATGCAGCAGTTATTTGCCACCTCTGCCTTAGGTAATGCTTGCTTGCTCTATGTATGATATGTGATCTACTCTGCAGACCAGTTTATGACATGTCTGTGTGACCATATTTTATCAGACTAGTATCAGAACAAATGGTCTGTCAATGAAATTTCCCTAAATGGTACTTTATTAGAATACCCAGACTGTGTGGTCCCTTTACTATTTGTGGAAAACAGGGACCAGACTTAAGTTTCCCACAAGAAATGTGTGGCTCAACTGGGATGGGAGAATGAGAAGAACCAGCATATCAATTAAAAAGTGTTAACGAAACTTTATGCACTAGCTAGATGTTCTCTGTGCATATAATTCATAAAATAATTCAGGTGAAAAATAGTCGTTAAAAGATTAAAACTCAGAGTAAACAGACTTATTCACAGCCAAGGGAGTTAATTCAGGGTATGAGAGTAGCTGAACACAAGGATTCAAAATTAAGGAAGAGCCAGGTGTGGTGGCTCACGCCTGTAATCCCAGTACTTTGGGAGACCAAGGCAGGTGGATCACCTGAGGTCAGGAGTTCCAGACCAGCCTGGCTAACATGGCGAAAGCCCGTCTCTACTAAAAATACCAAAATTATCCAGGCATGGTGGTATGAGCATGTAATCCCAGCTACTCAGGAAGCTGAGGCAGGAGAATCGCTTGAACCTGGGAGGCAGAGGTTACAGTGAGCCTAGATCGCACCACTGCATTCCAGCCTGGGTGACAGATTGAGACTCTGTCTAAAAAAAAAAAAATTAAAAAAATAAGGTCAAAGAGCAGCAAGGTTAGAGAAAAAGAGGAAATCAGATCAAAGGAAACTCATAAACACCATCTCTTACTCTTAAGAAACAATTGTTTGCTTACTGTTTATATTCTGGTAATTTTTATTGCTACACCAAAACAGATGAGTCAGAGTTAGTCTTGTGGCCACAAGAAACATGTACTATTCCTTACTGCTCTATTCCTTATTTCTGAGGCCATGGAAATGAGTGAAATGAGTGAGAGCGCCCAGGACCTGAGACAATGGCAGGAAAGTAAGGCTAACTTTCATTTAGCTGCAATGCATTCCTTTAGCTTCAACAGTCTCACCTGCTAAACTCAACCACGATGAAAAAGTACCACATGCAGGGAAGAATTTTCCTACACCTTCTCTTTTTCCTTTAACTTCTGTGCTCCCTTCTGTCCTTACCCTTGCTGCTTTCCCCTCTTTCTTTACTCTTCCCACTTTTTCATCTCATAAGACATTGTTGAGGGCCAGCTATATTGAAAGTACTTTAGGTTTACACAAGTGAATTAGATTTTCACTTTGCAATTCCAACGCCCACAGTCGAGTGGGAAAGACAAAAAAAAAAAAATTATAATTTCATAGCACTTTACAAAGCAATTGTTCACATAGGGCAGTGAGTTACTATGTCCTTTTTTAAAATGAAGAAACTGAAGTCCAAAGAGGTTAAGCAATTGTCCAAAATCAACCATCTAATGTAGAATATGGGTAATAAAGAGGAGATGAAAAAGAATTAGTAACATGAAAGTTAATGATACCTTCCTTCCCTCCCAGTTAAATAACTTTCACCATAGTCTGTGTAATTGACAGAGAGGTACTTCATCATGTGTATGCACACATCCATATACACACATATATAAGCACATGTGTGAAGGATAACACTAGGTATATATGAAAGTACTCTGCACCTTGCAAAAGGTTAAGCAAATATAATTTAACACCATCATTAAACAGAATCAGAGTAAATAAGCCAAAGAGTAAGCTAAGATTGGAAATATCTGACAACCATCCTTCTGCTTACAAAAGACAATACATTTCAGGGTTCAGGATAAATTATGCAAGAAATCTATCTGAATTCATCACCAAGAAATTAAGAAATGGCTTCACCAAAGGCTTTGGAAGTAAAAGTCAAGGATTTACTACGGCCATAACCTCTCCTAAAGGGAAAGGAAAGATGAGAACTGGAGAATTAGGAAGACCCCATTCTTATTTCTTAATAAATGAATAAATAGAAATAATTTGTAATTGGCTATAAAATAAAGTATTTTAAGTTGGCCCTATTTAAGCTCCTCGATTTTTTTTTTTGAGACGGAGTCTCGCTCTGTCGCCAGGCTGGAGTGCAGTGGTGCAATCTCGGCTCACTGCAACCTCCGCCTCCCAGGTTCAAGCGATTCTCCTGCCTCAGCCTCCCGAGTAGCTGGGATTACAGGCATGGGTCACCATGCCCGGCTAATTTTGTATTTTTAGTAGAGACGGGGTTTCTCCACGTTTGTCAGGCTGGCCTTGAACTCCTGACCTCAGGTGATCCAGCTGCCTCAGCCTCCCAAAGTGCTGGGATTACAGCTGTGAGGCACCACGCCCAGCCAATCTTATTTTTTAAAGTAAAAATAAGAAAATCAAATTCAAAAATATTTATTCTTACTTGGCTTATGAAAAAGGTAAATTCAATACAGCAATGGCATCACTTTGCTAAAAAGCGCTAGTCTTATACATGCTAATGGTAGAGAAGTTTTCTGATTAAAAAAAGGCCTCTCTGTAGCACACAAATCATCCCATATAGAGTGAGCTATACATTCCATATTTCTATCTGACATTGTTCAACAGATATTCAAAGTTCTTACATAATTGAGAAGTATAGCCTAGAAGTGATAAAGAAAGAATTAATAGGAACAGTTCTAGTAACTTTAGAAAAAAATAGCTTTTCTGGTGCCAACTGGTAAACTCCAGTGCTCAAACTGAGATCCAGGTATTATAGTGAGTTAAAAATATTATTTTGGGCCGGGCACGGTGGCTCACACCTGTAATCCCAGCACTTTGGGAGGCCGAAGCGGGCAGATCACGAGGTTAGGAGATGGAGACCATCCTGGCTAACACGGTGAAACCCCGTCTCTACTAAAAATACAAAAAAATTAGCCAGGCGTGGTGGCAGGTGCCTGTAGTCCCAGCTACTCGGGAGGCTGAGGCAGGAGAATGGCGTGAACCCAGGAGGTGGAGCTTGCAGTGAGCGGAGATCGCGCCACTGCACTCCAGCCTGGGTGACAGAGTGAGACTCCATCTCAAAAAAAAAAAAAAAAAAAAAAGGAACTATTAGTTTAACCTTCCTAATACCCCTGCAAAGTGGATATTGCTACAGTTTGATGCAATAGCTGCAAACTGCAATTTTATAAATGAGAAATATCAGAGACATTGAATAACTTGCCTAGGCAACATCAAGTAGACACTGTTTCTCCCTTACTTTGTCTTCTAAGATAATTGGAAGAAATAGATGTGTAATTAGCAGATGAACAAGAACAGGGGATTAAAAATGACTCTAAAACTTAGGATTTACTGTGAATTAATGTCAAACCGAGTTGGCAATGCGAGTGAAACTAAACATCTGAAAACTAACAGTTTGTATTTTTGAGATTATTCCACATAGTGATAGCATGGCTTAAACTGCTAACCATACATGTTGGGAAGAGATAAATTTAAAAGGAAAAAGTACCTCAGGAGAGATAGCCATGTGTTCTGGACCTTATAGAATATTTGAAGTGAATCTCCAAAAGGTCTTGAAGACATAGGCAGGAAGTTACCTAAGACACAAGGAGGCTAGCTGAGCAGAGAGGGGGCCTCTGAATTTTAGTGATGCTGTGGATGCTGCTATTTCTCTCTGGAATACCTCAACAGTCTCCCTTCTCACTTATCCTTAACCTCTTGCTTCACAGGTTTTCATGAAGTGAAAAGATTTCACATTTTTGTTCAGCACAAACCAGAAAGGCATTCCTCAAGAAAATATGTTCCATAACCAACACCTGCTTCTCCTGTAGCCACTTCCTGGATTCTTCTGCTTTTCTTCTTTCTACAAAGAGCAAATGTCTGTCACATAGAACAATCCCTTCTCTATAGTCCCTCCCTGGCTTTTCACCACTGTGTCTTCTTTCTTTCCCAGATTCCTCTGCATTTTGAGGGAATCTTCCTTAAAAAATTCCCTAATCCAACACATATTTCTCTTAAAATCTAGCTAGAATGTTGACTTCTTGAGTCATTAAGACAAACAGTAAACCAGTATTTTCTTTAACTGTGATACAAATAAGCTCACTTCCACCTCCAAGAAAGTTTCAATATGGGATCATACCAATTATATCTGGAATTCTTTACACTACAACTAAGTATCCTAAGTAATAAAAATCACTTATTACCTAGACAAAACCAGGTTGGTAATGCTTCTTCCTTACTTTGTCTTCTAAGAGAGCTGGGAGAAACAGATACTGTAATTAGGAGGAAAACCAGGAAGGGAAATTAAAAATGACTTTCAAATTTAAGATTTATCATGAATTCATGTCAGACTGTTTGCAGACAGCACTACCGGTGTCCAGCTACAGCAGTTCGCACATTCATTTACTTTAAAAAACTAATCCTCTTTACAGGAAGGTTTTGCAAACCTTGTATATTATGATGTGTGTGTGTGTGTGTGTGTGTGTGTGTGTGTGTGTGTGTGTGTGTGTGTGTATATATGTTTGGTTTTCATCCATCCTTCCCAGCTGATAACTCCCATAGCCCTTATTACAATGTTGGGGCACTTTAGGTCTCAGAAAACAGAATCTCTCTCACTCTGACCTTATCCAGTCCTCCTTTCACCTGCTACCTTTTCTGCCCAAGGCAGAAATCTTCCCCAAGCTTTTTGTGTTGGAGCTGGCCATAAAGAATTCTCTGACCTACCTTGTCTGATTATAGGTCATAAGACAGGATCTCACTATGTTGCCTATGCTTCTCTTTAACTCCTGGGCTCAAGTGGTCCTCTGGCCTCAGCCTCCCAGGTAGCCAGGGGTGCATCACTGTACCTGGCTTAAGACTCCCAATTCAAAATGAACCCTGCCCCATACTCAAGAGAAAAGAATGCTATACAGAGGCCAAGAAGAATTTGAACAGACAGGCCTTGCTGGGTTTCCCCACTCAGTCTATTAGTATTAGATCATACTCTTTTTGTCCAATTACATTTCTACATGGCTGTCCCTGCTTCAATCACGCCTATTCAATGAAGTCTCCCATATGTAACAGAAGTCTTCTTGTATTGACTGTTGTGGTGTGAGAATAGAAGGAAACTAGTTTGTTTTTTTCTACACACCTTGTAGCCCTATATTTTTTCTAAAAACAACGTATAAACTAAAGGAAGAAACTGAAAAAATAAATTGGGAAAAGTAAGATGAGCTCTTATATACACCTGCCACTAGGGGCTTGCTGACCTTCTTGAACAAGAGCTAAGAAGTCACCTATATGCATATAACCTACACTGGATCATTTATTTATTTGTTTACACAGCTTTAAGGCCCTCTTTGGGGCCTTATGTTGTCTGACTGAGCTACAAAACAAAAGTTTTAAAATGTAAATTAAACACAAATGGCAAAAGCCACATATCTGAATAGTTGCAAATGTCACAGAGACATTTTCATAAATATCTTTGTCATTAATCTTCTTTGAAAACTTCTTATGCAATAGGCAATTTATGGAAGGCTGAGCCATTCTATTTTCACAGCTAAATGAGGAGGAATAGTACAACTTCCACTAAAAATTTCCAGCATTTGTGAGGGGCTTTAAAAGAAAACACAAAGAGGAGATGTTTTCCCTCTTTTTTGCCATAAAGTCAAAGAAGGCATTGAGATAATTTGTTTCATTCCTTTCCAGAGAAGGAAAGTGCTTCAGCAAACAAAACTCCCTGAGATTTCAGTTATAATCCCAGTTCTCCCAGTCAACATTATTGCCTTTGATATTGACAGTGGACAGCAAGAAAAAGAGTTCCCTATCTTTATTTTTTTCTCATTTTCTTTTTTCTCTCCTTTTTTATCTTGTCTCCTTATCACCTCCCCTTTCTTTTCATCTCGTCCCTTTTCCGCACATATCATTAGGAAAAATGTTTTGCCATAGTGAGGTGGCATGATTTAGAATAAAATGGCCAAGAAAATGTAAAAGTTGTATCACTCCCATGAATCCCAACTGCCCACTGTACTATTGCATATATTTGAAACATACATATATGAATCCTAACTATAAAAAGGCAGTTATAAAGAGGAAATGTATGATGCTAAGCCACAAGCGATAACCCAAACCCTACTTCTTACTAACTGTGTGGCCTTTTGAGCCAGTCATGACTTTGCTCTGAGCTTCAGTTACTTATCTGTTAAATGGAACTAAGGGTCCCAACTATCTCACATATGAGATACGTGAAATTGTTTTGTAAACTGTAAAGTGTAAGACAAGTGAAAGGGAACATTATTATCTTCTTCATCGTCCTTCTGGTCTTTTTCTAAGTAGGCTGATCAGAAGTACCAAGAAAATAAGTAATACTTGTATGTCTCAATAATTTTAAAAATATTAAGAAAAGTGATCTAGAATAATACAACAAAAAAGTTGCCTCTTTTCCATTACTCTGGGAAAAGAAGATCTACAGTTAAGAATGAGAGTTTAACAGTGAAGATTTCTTAAATGGCCTCTGCTCTTTTTCTTAATTTCCTCTAGGCTACTTTACTTATATTGCATGTTTCACACGCACTTTGCATCGTAATGACTATTTTATGAGTTGATGATTCTTTTATGAGAAATGGTTTACTGTGTAATCAAGCAGAGAGAATTATCTCAAGGGTCAAGAGATTCAATTATGAATTGCTAAAAGTGCTGGTCACACAGAGAAGACTGAAATCTGTTTTGTTTTTGTTTTGTTTTTCTTTTTAATGTATCATTAGCTGTAACGTCATTAGCTGTAACAGGTCAGCATTTCTTTGCTTGTCAAGGCCAACTCATAACTTTTCAACTTCTCATTTAGGAAATCAAATGACACACTAAAGACCTAGTAGTGCAGTGATTTATAATTGAGGATAAATTTCTTTAATTGGCATTCACCAAACATGGATGTACCTACTGCTACACATAAACAGCTAGGGGGACACGGGGAAGGACAAATATGAATAATAGATAAAACTGCTGCCCTCAAGGAGTTGAAATTCTGGTAGAGAGAAAAGAAAAGGACATATAACATGTAAGTAACATATTGAGAAACATGAAAATCAGGATCCATGGGCACTAAGAGAGAGGGCACTCACTACTAGCTGATGGGCAAGAAAAACCAAGTCTCTGTACTTGTAGATTTAGTTTTATAGGAAGGTATTTTAAACCACTGAGGATTCTTATACATCATATTTACCTATAATAACCAATAAAGCTTAAAAAGGGAAAAAAATTAATCATTCAACATCTTTAAAAGTTCAAATGTTAACTCACTGGAGTTTTGACCTTTACTTAGGATACGGGAAGCTATAAAGAACTTCACTGTCACCTTAATGACAAGAAAATTTAGAAGATAATTTACAGGATCTAGATCCCGTCAGAGAAAGTTAAAAAATCTCAGGGCAACCAACTAGCATGAATTCTACAGACAGGCACCTCCAAAAAGAGAAGAAATACCTGCACTTGCAGAAAATGGGACCAGGTGATGCCAAGCACCATACAAGCTGGTAAGAACTCAGCTAAGAGGTCCAACATATTGCAAAAGGTGGAGTATGGACTAGTATGAGTGTATAGAACACCTGGGAGTCTCACACACAAAAGAGTTTTGCATTTACTCACAGGTTCTTATCCCTAAATCTCACTGGGCACGCTTTAAAATGATTGGGTGTGTGGGGATTGTGGATAGAGAGGAGGGAGACAAGGCAGAAGACCAAGGAGAGCTGCCCTTGGTGGTTCAGGCCTGGAAATGGGGGTGGGAAGGGTGGTAATAACCACTCTGGGAAAGGCACAAAGCCCAGCTCAGATCCTTTTGTCCTCTCTTAACTTTAAGGTACAAAAGCTCCATGCTCCTAGGGGACAGGAAATATACCCTATGACTCTCAGGGCACAGTTGAAAACCCATTGCAACCGTGAAAAGGAAACAGAAAATACCTACTTCTCTGTGGGTGGGGCAGGAAGCAGTCCTGGGCTCAGACCATTAAGGATTCCCAGTCAACCAGAATGAAACAAAAATGACTGACGAGAAAGCCCCACCTCTAAGACCCAGAGACACAATGCCAATCTAAGACTAAGGCTGAACCTGAACAACATAGGCTGAACCCCTGTCCCTTGCCTTTCCCAACTAAGCTAGCAAGCAATGAGTAACAAATAGTGGCAATCTACCACTGAGGAGTCAAGAGTGTGAAGGAAGACCCTCTTTTCAGGTGTAGACTCACAAGGAATGCCTGAAGCTGAGGATGTTACAGGAACATTGAGAAAAATCCTCTGGCAATGCAGCCCTTACCTAAGCACAAGGTAATGATACAGGAATTTGACACTGACATTGCAATGAGGTAACCATAGCAACAATAAAATCCAAACCCAGCTACCAATAAAATCCAAACCATAAAATGCAAACTCCTGAGGTTGACTCAAACATCATCTATACATACTAAAGGCCTAGCAGAAAGAGAGGTACACCCATCGGCAGACATAAATACCACTTAACACAGTCTCTACTGTCCTACACATAATTGTTGGGCTTTCAACCAAAAAATTTAAGACAAACAAAGAAGCAAGAAAAACAATCCCCTAACAAGAATCAAAACAATCAATAAAATAAGTCTCAGATATAATCTAGATGTGAGAACCATCAGATAGGGATTTAAAAACAATTATAATTAACATGTTAAGAGTTCCAGAGGCAAAAAGTAGGTGACTGAATAAGCGGATTCAGAAAGCTTATAGAACATTAAACCAGATTAAAACAAACAAGCAAACAAAAATACATAGACATATATTCAAACTTACATTCTGAAAACCAAGGAAATAAAAATTCCTAAAGGCAGCTAGAGGAAAAAAATGCATTACATAGAAAGAAACAAAGGTAAGAATTATAGTAGATTTATTAGGGACCATGCAAACCAGAAGATAAATGCTGGAAGAAAGAATTGTTAACCTAGAATTTCATAAGCAAAAAAAAATCTTTCAGAATATGAATAAGATGGATGGCTGTGATGGCTGTACAACAATCTGAATGTACTTAATGCCACTGGACTGTAAAATGTTTAAAATGGTAAATGTGATGTACGTTTTATCACTACAAAGATTATTTTCAAAAATATGAAAGAGAAATAGAGATTTTTTTCAACTGTTTCCTAGTCACCCCACATGTAGTCATTCATTATGTTAAGTAAAAAATCAGAAACATTGTGTTAGGAACTATTTTTGTATTATTCCCACATGAGAATCCCTGTTGTTCAAGACAGCCAATAATTAGCTGCAATCTGGCCAACACTCAGTGACCCGATGGGCAATCTAGTTTTTCCACAATATGGATAATATCTTCTTTCTCCTCTATCACTTCCTCACATTTAACTTCTCCTCAGCTGATTCTTCTCTCCAGGTCCATGTCCATCAAGTCTTAATCACAAAATGTTAGAATTAGTAGGGTCACTCAGAGGCATCATCTTTCAGGAGATAGCAGACTAAATCTGTAAAGTCAGATCCATTTTGGGGTCTTTGGGCTAATTCATCATCTTACTCTTGGATCTTCTGTCTACCTTAAGAAGATGAGCCCTTCCTATTTATTCTAGGGTCATTAACTTTACTCCACAGTCCTCTGTGGGTACCTTACTTGCACAGATAGACAGGAGTTCTTATCTGTACTTTGCAGCCAGACCTATACGTAATAAAAGAAATAAAACACCTTTATATGTCTGTATAAGCTAGATGATGGCTCACTATAATGTGAAGGCAATCCAGTCCTCCAATTGTGAGTTCGAATAGAAACAGTATGATCTTCTAGAGCTGGAAATATCTCTTTATTGGTTGAGAACATTAAACACCACAAACTTGAATCATTCCCCAGTGTAGATTAATATGAGTGCAATATTTACAACATAAAAATGAGGTTTTAAAATACAGAATGGTAAACACGTACACACCAAAAATCAAGGCATAAAATGACTTTTAAAAAAACTGTGTCATGGATCTCAATGGAGTTGTGTCTTCTAATAGAAAAATAATTATACTAATAATTAGAAGCAAAGATGAGAATTAAATGTATGTGACTTTTAATAATGAAGTACTAATAATGGAGGGACCCAAGGACTTGATTGAAGACAGTTTAATTTGGCATATTTATCCATTATCTGAAACAGGGAATACAGAGTAGAATATTTACATTTGTAAGGCATAGAGTCTTTTCTAGATTATAAAATGTCCAAGTGATAAGCATAAAACATAATGCAATCTCACAAAATATTTTGAGTAGGAAAAAATGTGAGGGCTGTATTTTTATTTGAGAAAAATATAATTTTATAAAGGAAAACCACTGGTCTTAGAGGCAAATAATAATGGCGATCAAATAATATTCATGGCTATCAATAGCTATCAAGTATCATACATTATCTCATTCAATCTTTAACAATCTTTCAAACTAGCTATTCTTCCTATCTTATAGAGAAGCTAACTGAGGCTCAGAAAGTTTAAGTAGCTTGCCCAATGCTACAACAATGCTTGTTGAATGTCTATGTGAATGAATTTGTCTTAATTATTCACATCCCAATCTTTGAAAGATGAAATTTGGTTTTCCAACTATCAAGACAAAGGATGACCCAGAAACTGTAAATTCTGCCACTCTTGACCTTGATAGTTTGAAATAGAATACGTGTTGGCAATTAGCAGCCTGTTAAACAAAAACAAAACCCCTGTGAAGCATGATTATTAAGCTTTGATTCCTTGGCAACTTTACAGATCTGTAATATGTTTAGGGAAACTAATAGAAAACCAAATTGGGCAATAGGAAATTCATTCCTATATTTGGTAGGTTGACTTCCATGGTTTTAATGCCACAATTTTCATTAATAATTCACCAGGACATTAGAGTAAAGCAGATTTGGAGAAGGAACAGTGGGCCTGTATATGAGGCTAAAAGCTAGAGATTAAAAGTTGCTGAAAAAGCCTCTGTGGAATTGTGTGAAGGGTCCCAAACTCAGTGTTACTAATAAATGGCAGTTGGTATTACAAATCATTTGTAAGGGGAATGATTTCCAAGAAATCTAAGTTCACGACGATGTGGTTGTGGATAAGACCAACCAGCAGATGGGGCTGCTAGAAGAAATAGAGGCTACATAACCCCTACCTACCTTACCAACAGGTTGTATTTTAATTCTATTTCAAAGTTAATTATTTAGAATGCAGAATACATTGCACCATGGAAACAATGTTACAAATCAGAAATCAGCACTATAGTCCACATGCTAACTCCAGCCTATCATCTGTGTTTTTTTTGTTTGTTTTTCGTTTTCATAGTCGAGACCTCACTTTATTGCCCGGGCTGGAGTGCAGTGGCACAGTCATAGCTCACTGCAGCCTCCAACTCCTGGGCTCAAGCAATCCTCCCACCTCAGCCTCCTGAGTAGCTAGGACCATAGGTGCGTTTCACTGTGCCAAGTTAATACTTTTAAATTTTGTTTTTCATAGAGAAAATTCAATTTTCTACATCCATTGATAAGGTTTTATTGAAATGCCGCCATGCTTATTTGTTTATGTATTGCCTACAGCTACTTTCACACATCACAGCAAAGTTGAGTAGTTTTGACCATATGACTCACAAAGCCTTAAATATACACACACATATACACTATCTGGCCCTTTACATTAAAAGTTTCCTGGTTGTGATGGTTAATATTATGTGTCAACTTGTCTGGGCTAAGGGATGTTCAAATAGCTGATAAAACATTATTTCTTGGTGTATCTGTGAGGGTGTTTCTGGAAGAGATTAGCATTTAAATTAGAAAAGTGAGTGCAGAAAGTCCACTTTCACATATGTGGGCAGGCATCATCTAATCCTTTGAGAGCCCAAATAGTATAAAAAGTGGAGAAGTAGAAATGCTCTCCCCTCCTTGAGGTGAGACATTCATCTTCTCCTGCCCTTGGACAATGGAGTTCCTGGTTCTCAGGCCTTTGGACTTCAGGACTTAGACCAACCCTCTTCTCCCTTTCCAGGTTCTCAGGCCTTCAGCATTAGACTGGAAGTTAATCATAGCCACCTCTGGTTTTCAGGCCTTCAGACTTGGACTGAAGTATACCACCAGCTTACATAAAGCATATTGTGGGACTTCTCAGTCTCCATAATCACATGAGTCAATTCCCATGATAAATTTCCTATATATAAACAGTAGTCTTGCCTTATCTGAGGTTTCACTTTCTGAGGTTTCAGTTGCCCTCAGTCAATTACAGTCCAAAATTACTATATACAGTAAGATATTTTGAGAGAGAGAGATCACATTCATATGCCTATGATTATAATATATTGTTATAATTGTTCTATTTTATTAATTGTTGATAATCTCTTACTGTACCTAATTTATAAATTAAACTTTATCATAGGTATATAAGTATAAGAGAAAAACATAGTGTCTTAGGGTTTGGTACTATCCACAGTTTCAGGCATCCTTTGGGGGTCTTGGAATGTATCCCTCATGGATAAGGGGGGACTACTATATATCTATATATTCCCTATTTATTCTGTTTCCCTGGAGAACTCTGACTAATACATTGATCCTTCTTATAAAATATTATTACATTCCCAGGTTGGCTGGCAAAAGCCAATATCATTTAAAATGTGGTTGTGCTGTGGTGTTAATAGAATTCCAAAGTCTATGCCTTGAATTCTTTTGAGAATTCTGGTGGCATTTCCAGCTGTGGAAGCTTTGAATATCAGAACATACTTTTCAAAGTCATACTTTCTACCTTTGCTCATGCTGTTCAGTCAGTTTGGAATACCTCTCCCCGACAAGAAAAACCATAAAAATGGCTAATATTTATGAGTTAAGAAAATTGAGCATTTTCTACATGTTTTAAGCATTTTACATGTATTACTTTACTTAATCCACACAACAGAATGAGATAATTACTATTAATATGCCCATTTACAGATGGGGAAACTGAAACGCAGACTTGCTCCAAGTCACACTTCTAGTAAGTGCTAGAGCTAGGACATAAACCCTAGAAATCTAACACAATCTCAGATATTATGCTATTAACTACTAACCACAAGGCTATAACCTCTTTTGCAACTTTTGAAAGCCCTTTCAACTTTTAAGGCCTAATTAAAATGCCAATTTTTTCATAAAGCCTTTTTCCAAGATTCCCCATGCCCACAAGTTCAAAATAATTGTATTTATGGTTTTATGAGCCCTCTATTTGTCTATAAAAGTACTCAGTTCATTTTACTCTGTGTTCTAATTTACATGTTGCACTCCCAACCTTAGGCACATACATAAACAAAATGTGAATTTTAAGCTCATTCAGGGCAAGAAACATACAATCCATTACATCATACAGAGCAGGTGCTTCACAAATGCATCTACTGCAAATAACTGAGTGAATGAATGCAAAGGCAGTTGGCTCCTGATATTAAACAAAACATTCTAATGGAGATAATTCCTCAGGTGGTAAAGATATTAACATGTTTGATAGGGAGCTTGGTTTTATTTGCTATTCAAAGTGAGTCATAACCAAGACATTCTTTTCAAATCTACATAACTACCTGAAGCAAGCCTTAAGTATAGCCAAACAGGATAATTGAAGAAATTATCTTGTTTATACAAGATCAAGCCAGAGAAACAGAAGCCCCCAACATTCATCTCTCTTTGGGGTTAAGGCAGTGATCTTCCAGTCTTTCTTATTTGCTGATATTTTATTTAACAAAATCCTATATGGAAGTCCAAATTATAATATAAAATCAATGAAATGAAATATCTTGTAATTGAAGCAGTAGAGGGTAGAGAGGCAAGGAAAGATGAAGCTCTAGAATCCTTCCACCTCCAAGGGACCCCTAGGGCACCACCATAGAACTTCTAGAACACAGCACAATTTGGCTTGAAAACTATACCGAATGCATGTTAATTCAGTAACACATTTTTGTTCATTATTACTTATTATTTTCTACATCATCAATTATCCCTAGAACAAGAAAGGGCCTTGGCAGCATTCAATACTTGCCTTTTGACATAATGTGTAATAAATTTTGATAGATATGAGGTCAAGAAAGAATCTACAGGGATGCAGGAGAGGACAGATATGAGAGGGCAGCCATACCACAGGGTCACTGGACAATCAAAAGATAATGATGCTGGGTGCTTTCAAAAGGGGATGCAGGAAAAAGGACTCTGAGGGCCACATCTCAACATTGCACCAGGCTTGTATCACCAATGGTAAAGAACGTGGCAACTGTTAGTTATTACTCCAAGATGTCTCATGATTTAAAAATCAGCTGGTGGGAGTGGATCTTTGAAATATAGGCCCTCTAGCGTTTGCAGGAATAGTGAGTTGTCCAGTAAAATATCAAGGTGAAAAATCCATGTTTGGACTGACAAAAAGTATGTGCTGTTAGTTAAATATTGGTTAACAGACACAACAAGAAATCATTCTGTTTTAATCCATAACAGTGGTACTGGCTGCGCTGAAACCAAAGCTCAGATAGATATCTCATTGTGCGGAGATAGGTTGAGCCCATCTCTGGCTCTAATGCAATCTTGAGCCTCAGGGGCACTGGAATCAGGCACACAGCATGAGAGCCTAAGAAAAAAGGCAGCTTTTCCAGAGAGAGAAATAGAGAATTAAAGAGTTTTATCCATGATCTTCAAATTGGTAAGAACTTGGGGGTCTCATATATTCCAAGTATCAGTCCTTAGAAACAGAAAAATCCCTAGTTTTGGATTCAGAAAATTTCATTTGAAGTCCTGACACTTCCACTTATTAGATTTTAACTTGATATTTAATCTCTCTGATATGTACAGTGGCACTTGTAATACTTGTCCTATCTCATGGTGTTGTTAATCTCATACTGAAATGTGGATGATGAACTCAAAATAGTCACCCTTTTAAGGCTATTATCAGATTACTAATTTAGAATCTGCAGTTCTGTTCTCTCATGCTTTTGGGAGAGTGATCATGGAAGGATATACTAGGCTTAGCAGAGAAGAATCCCTATAGAAGCTTTTGGGATAAAACATCGGAATTGTACATGAAGCCCCAAAAGAGTAGAGTAGGCAAGAGACAACTATTAAGGAGGGGCGATTAGGACTCTTGGGACCAGAGGTGAAAACAATGCTGTTGTTGCTGTTTCTTTTTGTAAAGATAGGGTCTTGCTCTGTCACCCAGGCTGGGGGACATGGTGTGATCATAGCTCACCGTAACCTTGAACTTCCGGCTCAAGCAATCCTCCTGCCTCAGCCTCCCAAGTAGCTGGGACTGTGGGCATGTACCACTGTGCCAGGCTACTTTTTAAAAAGATTTTATTAGAGATGAGGTTTTGTTATTTTCCCCAGGCTTGTCTCAAACTCATTGGCTCATGTGATCCTCTCGGCTTGGCCTCTCAAAGTGCTGGCATTATAGACGTGAGCCACTGTGCAAGGCCAACAATGTAGTTTTTAAGTGGAAAGGAAAATCCTTGATTCCCCCAGGAATGAAACATGTCAGTAGTTGAAAAGAGAAGAAAAGGGGTAAATTTTTGTTGACCATTGGTTCCCAGAAAAAATCACAGGCAATGAGACCCAAGCCTTGGAAAAAATTGGAAAAGAAAATTACAAAGCATTTAATAGAATCTAGGGAATTCCAATGTGCCAAATAACTGACATTATTTCTGAGAGGTCTTGTCAGTAATTCCAGTGCCTAGAAAACAGGAGTAGACCTGGCAAAAAAAAATAAAGTGTCTGTATGTATCTGTGTGTCTGTGTCTGTGTGTGAGAGAGAGAGTGGAATTGGGAAGCAGTTATAGATATCTTGATAGATAGATAAAAAGATAGAAAACTTGTCCTGTGAACTACCCACATGTACATGCACTGTGATTTCTTGGCTCCTCCTACCCACCCTGTCCAATGCCACTGAAGGTTAGTCAGTAGAAGAAACCTACAGGCAGCCTCTACTTCTTCTGTAGCCTCCTGTTTCAAGTTTAGAAAGGGATCGTCTCAGAGATGCTCAAGCCTACCTGCAATTAGTAAGACAGATTAGCTACCCTATGGGTTAAATATTCCTTCAATGACTGGCCTAAAACCCCTAACTGTCATTTATAAGTGTGTTTACAAACCTTATATGAAGTATAATGAGCCTTTGCTAATAGAAAAATATTTTATATTCAAGCTCTCAAATGATGGTAGTTGGATTTTTTAGAATCTATTAATTGAGAAAACACAAAATGAAGAGAGCTGCTGTGAACCCAAAAACTTTTAAGTGAATTTCATTATTATTCACCATCATCATAAATATACTCAAGAAGTTGTACATATTATAAAATATGTACTATATACGTATATGAATATATATATACACGTACTATGCAAAACAAAATTTATTCAGCCTATAGCTGATGATTTGTGTGTAAATGAATTAAAAAACGTCTTCTAATTCTGAGATTCCCAGAAACCTCTAGTCCACATGTTTGGAATCATTAATTTACATCACTAATCTTACATAGAAAATGCATTCTGGGTTCTAAGTGACCAACCCAGAACTAGGAAACTTAAGATGACTAATAAACTAATAAGCTAATAATAAGCAATGGCTAAACATTAGACTAAGGCAGAGCTTCTCAACGTTTTTAAATTATCATCTCCCCAAGGACCCCTTATAGATATTTATTTTTCTTAATTGTCCTCCATGAAATTTTAATACTACACATATACTATATATCTATTTTATACTGTTCATACTGTGACCTTTGGAGGAGAACGAACCATTGTAATACCTAAGTTTTCTCACACACACACTCCACCAAGTACCAATTTTTCACCAACTTGAAGGCTATATTGCTTCTATTGAGAATATATGGGCCAAGGAACTTTATATTCATTATCTTATATAATCCTTAAAGTGAGTATTATTCCCATTTTATTAGATGACACTGAGACTGAGAGAGGCTAAATAAAGTTATCCAGTTCATTAGTCTCATTAAGTCCACACAAGGACTGAGTGGAAACACTATACATGGTACATTTCCTAGAGCAGCTAATAGGACACTCACAAACACAAGCTGCCCTTAAAGAATGACAGTGTCAAAGCCATGCATTATGCATTGAAAGTTGCTATGTGTATGACCAGGTTTTTTTTCTTTGACATTCATTGTCTGATTAAGCCTGCAAAGTTTTGCTGGCTTGGTATAGAATAATCTTTCAGTATTATTGATCAAACATATATTATTTAACATTTTTAAATGTTTTGACATTTTCATTTTCTAAAGTCCAAGTAATTTAAAGAAATATGGCTTGCAGACCATTTCCTTCTTCAACACCTTAGAGGTTATGTGAAAGCAAGTTTTACTCTTGGGTAATTCTAGCAGGCAGCAATGATATGTAATTATGTCAAGCCATGCTTTTTGTTCAGTGTTTTTATCAATGTTGTCACAAGAGACAGATGCATAAAATGTTGGCATTAAAAAGATTCTTAAGAGATGATCTCAATTGAAACCCAATAATCATACTCCTAGTTAGGAGAGGAACTAAGACTTAAATTAAATTATAGCTGAGAACCTTTCTTCCCAACCAGAGGAATTTAATCTAGGTGCCATAGAAAAAAATAAAATCACAGATTTTTAAGTTAGAAGGTATGTTAACTGATTCCTAAGATACTTCCAAATTGGTAAGTCACTAAATGTAGTTTAAAGAAAAAAGATATGAGAGACTTATACTTCTGGCCAAGATAAAGTAACAAGGACCAGATTCAATATATGAAATAATGGTTTCCAAAACACTGAACATCAGACAACAAAGGACAGTGAACTCTGAGAGATGACAACCAAGCAACTGAGCACTGTAATTTTTTCAGTTTTCTGCATTGAGAGAGTTTACAAGTCATGACACAGAAAAGATGAAAAGGAGCTTAGTAAGCTCCTTGACTTGAGGAGATAGAGGTAAGAGTCTGGGAAGACCAAAGCACTTCATTCAGACTAACAGCAAATAAAGGGATGCATGGAGACATAACTCTAGACATCTCCAGAAAGTTCTCAAATATGTAGCAGAATACAAATAAGCACATGAGTATGAAGAAACTACCAGAGGTAGAGAATCATCTGAAAGTTATAAGGAATAATGTGTTCTACAAGACTGAAAATAGTACTTATTCCTGCCAGTAAGCCTGAAAAAAATCATAATTCATAGGGCATTAGACGGAGTACTCAGAGAGGTCTTGCCTCAGTTATGGAGAATATTAGCTCTAGACTGAACATTGCTCCAGCCCTTCCTAACAAATCATATAAGCAAGACAGGAAAGGATCAAACTGTTTCCAAATAACTTAACTCTCCATAAACATAGCTCAGAACAATACAAAAATATGTACTTCTTAACAAGGCAAAATGTACAATTATCTCTCATTCAATGAAGGATTACTTAGTATGCAAAGAGTCAAGAAAACATGACTCATGATATGAAAAATAATCAATTAATCCAAAACAACTCAGAACTGACAGATATGTTAGAATTATCAAAGAATGACATACTGTACTTCCATATGTTCTAAGAGAGACAAGAAAAATATTTTAAAATATCCAAATTGAATTTCTAGAGATGAAATCTACAATGTGTGAGACAAAAAATACACAAAGGTTTAACAGTAGATTAGACAATGCAAGAGAAAACATTAGTGAACTTGAAGGAGTGATATTAGAAACAATCCAAAATGAAATCCACTGAGAAAGAAGAATCCAAAAAAATGAAAAGAGCATCAGTCAGCTCTGGGACAACTTCAAGTGGCCTAACATAGAGATAATTGGTGTCTTAGAACAGAGAGAAGAAAGGTCAGAAAAATATATTTGAAGAAATTATGGCAGACAACTTTCCAAATTTCATGAAAACCATAAAACACAAATTCAAAGAGCTCAAAGCATCCTAAGCATAAGAAACATAAAGAAAACTATACCAAGGAACTAAATTGCTCAAAACCAATAATAAACAGAAAATATTAAATGTAGACAGAGAAGAAAAACACATTACCTACAGAGGAGCAAAGATAAGTAAGACTTCAGATTCCTCACTGGAAACAATGCAAGTGAGACAACAGGAGCAACATATTTAAAGTACTTAAAGAATAAAACAAACAACAACAAGAAAAAACCTGTCAACCTAGAATGCTATAGCCAGTAAAAATATCTTTCAAAAAATGAAGATGAAATAAAAACATTTTCAAAATGACAGAAGGACAAATAATTCATCACCAGAATACCTGAACTATAAGAAATGTTAAAGATTGTCCTTAAGGCAGAATGAAAATAATAACAAATAGAAATCTGTATCAACATGAAATAATATAGAGTACTGGAAATGGTAACTACAGATAGTCCCCGACTTACAATGGTTTGAGCAACCAGACAATAAAGGACAGTGAACACAGAGAAATGACAACCAAATAAGGTGAGCACTGTAATTTTTCAGCTTTCTGCATTAACAGAGTTTATAGGTCATGACACACAGACGATGAAGTGAAAGGACCTTAGTAATCTCCTTGATTTGAGGAGATAGAGATAACAGTCTGGGGAGACCAAAGCACTTCATTCAGACTAAAAGGGAATAAAGAAATTTTGGGGAGAAAATACTTGCAAACTACCCATCTGACAAGGGATTATACCAGAATATATAAGGAACTCAAACAACTCTATAGGAAAAAAAAAAAAATCTAATAATCCAATTAAAAATGGGCAAAAGATTTGAATAGACATTTCTGAAAAGAAGTCATACAAATGGCAAAAAGCATATGAAAAAGTGCTCAACAACATTGATCATCAGAGAAATGGAAATCAAAACCACAATGAGATATCATCTCATTCCAGTCAAAATGGCTTTTATACAAAAATCAGGCAATAACAAATGCTGACGAGCATGTAGAGAAAAGGGAACTTGTACACTATTGGTGGAAATGTAAGTTAGTACAACCACTGCAGAGAACAGTTTGGAGTTTCTCAAAAAACTAAAAATAGGCTACCATATGATCTAGCAATCCCACTGCTGGATATACACCCCAAAGAAAGAAAATTAGTATATCAAAGAGTTATCTGCACTCCCATTTTTGTTGCAGCACTATTGACAATAACCAAGATTTGGAAGCAACCTAAGTGTTCAACAGACGAATGGATAAAGAAACTGTGGGCTGGGTGCAGTGGCTCATGCCTGTAATCCCAGCACTTTGGGAGGCCAAGGCAGGCCAACTACCTGAGGTCAGGAGTTCAAAACCAGCCTGGCCAACATGGCGAAACCCTGTCTCTACTAAAAATACAAAAAAATTAGCCAGGGGTGGTGGCAGATGCCTGTAATCCCAGGTACTCTGGAGGGTGAGGCGGGAGAATCACTTGAACCCAGGAGGTGGAGGTTGCAGTGAGCCGAGATCGTGCCACTGCACTCCAGCCTGTGTGACAGAGACTCCATCTCCACAAAAAAAAGAAAGAAAGAAAATAAATAAATAAATAAATAAATAAATAAATAAATAAATAAATAAATTGTGGTACTTATACACAATGAAGTACTATTCAGCTATAAAAAGAATGAGATTCTGTCATTTGCAACAACATGGATGAAACTGGAGGTTATTATGTTAAATGAAATAAGCCAGACACAGAAAGACAAACATCGCATATTCTCACTTATTTGTGTGATCTAAAAATCAAAACAATTAAATTCATGGAGATAGAGAATAGAAGGATAATTGCCAGAGACTGAGAAGAGTAGGGAGGTGGTGTGGGCAGCGGGGAGGTGGGGATGGTTAATGGGTCCAAATAAAAAAAATAGAATGAACAAACCCTAGTATTTGATAGCACAACAGGGTTCTGTAGTCAATAGTAATTAAATCATACATTTAAAAATAACTAAGAATATAATTGGAATGCTTGTAACACAAACGGTAAATGCTTGAGGGGATCGATACCCAATTTTCCAAGATGTGATTATTACGGATTGCATGCCTGTACCAAAATATCTCATGTACCCCATAAATATGTACACCTACTATGTATCTACAAAAGTTAAAAAATTTTAAAAAATTTAATATGAATGCTCAGCACATTAACTTCCAGTCTTCTTGATTTTCTAATATATACATTTAGCATGATAATTCTCTCTCTAAAGTACTACCTTAGCAGTATCATAGAAATTTTGATTGTTGTATTTTTATTACAAAGTTCAAAAATGTCCTAATTTTCATGATTAATACTTCTCTCTTTGACTAATGTTTACTAGAGGAGTTTTTGAATTTCCAAATGTGGATTTTTCTAGTTAAAATCTTTTAAAATTATTTTGTGGTCAGAAACTACATTCTAAATTATTTCAGTCCTCTAGAATGTATTTAGACTTGCTTTTTGTGGTGCCCAATTGCATGTGTGCATGTCTCTGTGTGTGTGTGGTGCGTATGTGTGCATGTGAGTATGTGTATGTGTGCGCACGCGTGTGTGTTTTCGAGTCATCTATTTATTTCAAAAACAATGTGTTTGCCATTTTGAGATTCAACTTTCTATATCCTTAGTGATTTTTTTTTGTCTGCTTGTTTGGTCAGTTTTTAAGAAAGTATCTTAAAGTATACCACTATGATTATATGTTTGCTTGTTTCTCCTTGTAGTTTGTCATGATTTTCTTTATATATTTTGAAGCTATGTTTTTAGTTAAATAAAAATTATAATACTTTTTCTGGTGACTTGAAACTCTTTTCATTATTAAGACATCTTTTTAAAACAAGCATATCAGAGCCCTAATGTCCAAATGAGTTTTAATCCCTTTAAAGTAGTTCTTATGAAGTCAGACACTTACTACAACAATGTTGTTATCACTCTAAACATTTTTGTCCTTTGGTTTTTGGGAATTAGCTTCCAGACCTTTATGTTATGGCCTCATATGAACAAAGTCTATTTCATTCTATTGTAATTAAGAATTGGTTTTTACTCCAAATGTGATTATACAGTTCCGTCACAGACTTTCTTCTCTAATTTGGCTCCAGATTGCCTTCTGACTTACCACCAGTGAGAGTATTTACAATAATATGCCACAGACTCAGAAAGTAGTGCCCAGGGAGAACCAATGGTGGCAAATTTGGAATAAACATACCATTTCCTAAAGAAATAAGAATTTTGATCCTGACTTGGACACTAAATAAATTGTGTGATCATGGGCAAGTAATTTCTCTTTTCCTCTCAGCCATAGTTTCCTTCCGAAGTGTATTGAGAGGCATACTGTCAAAGTCTATTATTCAATTATTACAATAGGAAATCAATAGCATATAAAAGCAACAACCTGAGACAGCCTGACTTGGAGCTTCAAGAAAAAAAAGAAAGAAGATAAATGTTTATCAGGAGTATTATTTCATTACATACTCTGTTTTTTAATGTTGTAGTGTAAGTTTTAACTCTTCGGATTTAGAAAAATATAGTGCTTGCAAACTGTCATTTTATTAGGGGAGGCAGGTCTAAAATATATACCTAATAATAGGTCACATATAATGTAGAAAGATGTCAGAAAATAACAAACTATCCAGTGAATATACGGTTAATTGTGAACTCTAACAAAATTGAACCCAGGAATCCAGTGTTTTCCTCTTTTATTACATTGCCTTTCAATGATCAGAACCCAAAGTTGAATGTATAATTTAATTGGCAACCAAAGCAGCTGAGATGTCCTTAGAGTCAGAAGGGTGTATGGCTACAGAGATCTGAGCTGGCTCTCAAACTACCCATTAAGCAGCAGCCAAGGCTAAAGCCACAGTGTCTTCGGGAAACCTTTAAGAAGCAGGGTAAAGTAATGGGACAAGTACAGGGAAAGCAGGTAAAAATGTTGCCTATCTTTGGTAGAGCTGACAACTCTGTGAACAAAAGGCCACTGGGACTTATTAATCAACTTGGAGACTGTATCTACTGTGAAAACAGCCTCAGCAATAGAAGTTGAACCTTGAAAACTGGATAGGAAAGCATTGAAAATACAAAATACTAAATGCAAAAAATAAAGCCTGTACAAGTACAGATCTAAGTTTATACCCTGGCTCGGACAATTACAGTTAAGTGACCTTAGGAAAGTGATCTCACTTCCATTTCCATATGATGAGAATAATTCTACCTACTTTGAAAAATTGTTGTCATGAGATACTGATACTGAGTTTGGATGTGTGCCCCCTCCAAATCACAATTCCCAATGTTGGAGCTAGGACTTGGTAGGACAAGTGGTTGAATCATGGAGGCAGATCCCTCATGAAGGCAGATCCCTCATGAATGGCTTGATGCTATCCTTGCAGTAATGAGTGAGTGCTCACTCTGAGTTCACAGTGATATCTTTAAATTATTAAAAAAAAAAAAAGAGGCTGGAATTTCCTCCTCTCTCTCTTGCCCTCTCTCACCACGGGACGCACTGGCTCCCTTTCCCTTCTGCCATGATTGTAAGCTTCCTGAAGCCCTCACCAGAAGCAGATGCTGGTACTATGCTTCTTGTACAGCCTGCAGAACCAAGAGCCAATAAAACTCTTTCCTTTGTAAATTACCCAGTCTCGAGTATTCCTTTATGGCAATGCAGATAGTGGATGAAAAACACCTAATATAGATGCTCAATAAATGGATTTTGATTATATGCCCAGTTTATATTTTGGGGCTCTAATCCATACAACCCATACTTAAGGATAGATCCTCTTGACTACATCCATCATAATTGATACGAAAAGTACAGCTAGGAGGTGCACCCAAATGGGTCCTTACCCTCTCATAGGGAGCAAGACAGAACCAGATGCTTTTCTTTCATATATCCATAGAAGTGTTGGTATTACTGGATACTGGCTTAAAAAAAACTGTATACTTTTAGCTAAAATTTCTTGGCTTATTAGGCATGTTAGGAATAATTTAATAGTATTTAATATTATTTATAATTTAATGACATTTAATGGCAAATATACAAAATTAAGCAATTATGTTACAGAATTATATTTTATTTAAAATTATTTATTCCTTGATTAAATGAATATTTACTAAATTCATGCTGAAAACACCATGATGCAGCATTTAATTAGAGCACAGAAGGAAGGATTTGGACAGGCAGATTTAGTAGGGCAGGTTATTCCAAGCAGAAAAACAGCCTAAGGAAGGGATTCTGGAAAACTGACTACTAGAGGAAAGCAGGTAAAAATGTTGCCTATCTTTGGTAGAGCTGACAACTCCATGAACAAAAGGCCACTGGGACTTATTAATCAAACTGGAGACTGTATCTACTGTGAAAACAGCCTCAGCAATAGAAGTTGAACCTTGAAAACTGGATAGGAAAGCATTGAAAATACAAAATACTAAATGCAAAAAATAAATTGATTTTGGCCCAAAAATGAAAATCTACCAATTTACTTCTTTGTCCTTGTTTATATCCCACCTCTATCCAGAAGAGAAACTTTGAAAATCTAGGATAAATCCTTTTTTTCTTCTATATACCACTGTATCCACCATTTAGGCATTTTTGTGAGGTCCGTTACTATATGGACTAGTACTAAATACTGGTCAAGAAAGAGATGTGCAGCCTGGATGAAAAGGAAGGACCGTTTTCTGCAGAGGCTTTTTCCCCTCACTAAGAAATGGAATATAATCAAATTCCTCTAAAAGGAACGGAACACAAGGACATCCTGCTCTACTCTGTCTCCAGCCCTAATGATAGAATGAATGTCTCCCTTCCTTCCTGTGTTGTAGAGATTATTAGGTCAAATTCTGGTGTTCAACATGAGATATATAATACCCAGCATTAGCGTGAGGCAGAGGTTCTCAAACTTTAGAAATTTAGTCAATTTTCTGTTATCTTCATATTTGCCATATCCACTTAGGATCTTTTCTATTGTCAACTTAAATTTTTCTTTGGAGTAACTTAAAGTGTTACAAAAAAGCACCTTACTTTTTAATGTAAATACTTATATTTACTTCACCTAGGGTAAAAACATCTGTAAAATCTCAGGTCTGATATGCTAGTTATACTTTTTAATCCATAGGAAATTAAATTTGCCCCCTATCACTCAGAGCAACCAGTGGTACATAGACAATATTTTGAGCAATGATAATTTCAATTCACCTCTGTCTCTTGCCATAGCTGACTAGAATATCTAAGAAAATATCCGGAAAATGCTAAGAAAACTACAGCAAGTTCTAGATATTATTTCTTATCAATTCGGAGTACGAAGCTGTCATGTTCATCACTGACTCTCAGTAACTAGAACAGTTTCTGGCAAGTGGTAACTTCTCAGTAAACTTGTATGAATAAACTTATGAATAATTGAAGACCCAAAGATTTATTTACTTCCTATCTTTTTACTCAGCAAATTTCAGAATGTGGCTTCCGTTGAAGGGACACTAAGCAGCATCTGCTTGCTCTGTTTAGAAGGTGAAGAAGAGAAGGCTAAACTTGACCACACTTGGTCATCTTAGAGCCATCACGGTTACAAGGGCCCCTATTTAACTTTACTTAATGCTGGAGTTTTGTTTCCCAAAGCATAGGACGTATAATTTTATGTGGTATATGAATTGATTTCACATGGTTCATGAATATGGTATTAAATAACACTTGAATCCCATAGAGGAAGTTACTCTAGTTTCTTTTTTTAATTTGTATTTGTTTATTTTTATTTTACACTAATTTCCTGGATACATATGCAGAACATGCAGGTTTGTTACATAGGTATACACGTGCCATGGTGGTTTGCTGCACCTATTGACCCATCCTCTAAGTTGCCTTCCCTCACCCTCCACCCTGCAACAGGCCCTGGTGTGTGTTGTTTACCTCCCTGTGTCCATGTGTTCTCATTGCTCAACTCCCACTTATGAGTGGGAACATGTGGTGTTTGGTTTTCTGTTACTGTGTTAGTTTGCTGAGTATGATGGCTTTCAGCTTCATCCATGCCCCTGAAAAGGACATGATCTCATTCCTTTTTATGCATCGAATACTGCATAGTATTCGATGGTATTTATGTACCACTTTTTCTTTATCCAGTCTGTCATTGATGGGCATTTGGGTTGGTTCCATGTCTTTGCTATTGTAAATAGTGTTGCAATAAACATACAGGTGCATGTGTCTTTATAGTAGAATGATTTCTATTCTTTTGGGTATATACCAGTAATGGGATTGCTGGGTCAAATGGTATTTCTCGTTCTAGATCTTTGAGGAATCACCATACTGTCTTCCTCAATGGTTGAGCTAATTTACATTCCCACCAACAGTTTGTAAAAGCATTCCTACTTCTTCACAGCCTTGACAGCATCTATTCTTGACTTTTTAATAATCTCCATTCTGACTGGCATGAAATGGTATCTCATTGCAGTTTTGATTTGTATTTCTCTAATGATCAGTGATTTTGAGCTTTTTTTCATATGTTTTTTGGCCACATAAATGTCTTCTTTTGAAAAGTGTCTGTTCATATCCTTTGCCTACTTTTTGATGGAGTTGTTTCTTATCAATTTTTTTAAGTTCCTTGTAAATTCCTCATATTAGACCTTTGTCAGATGTGTAGATTGCAAAAATTTTCTCCCATTCTGTATGTTGTGTGTTCACTCTGATGTTTTTTTTTTTTCTGCTGTGCAGAAGTTCTTTAGTTTAATTAGATCCTATTTGTCAATTATGGCTTTTGTTGCAATTGCTTTTGGTGTTTTCATCATGAAGTCTTTGCCCATGCCTATGTCCTGAATGGTATTGCCTCAGTTTTCTTATAGGGTTTTTATGGTTTTGGGTTTTACATTTAAGTCTTTCATCCATCTTGAGTTAATTGTGAATGGGAGTTCATTCATGATTTGGCTCTCTGCTTGTCTAGGGTGTAAAGGAATGTTTGTGATTTTTGCACATTGATTTTGTATCCTGAGACTTTGCTGAAGTTGCTTATCAGCTTAAGGAATGTTTGGGCTGAGATGACGGGGTTTTCTAAATATAGAATCATGTTGTCTGCAAACAGAGACAATTTGACTTCCTCTCTTCCTTTCTGAATACTCTTTATTTCTTTCTTTTGCCTGATTGCCCTGGCCAGAACTTCCAATACTATGTCGAATAGGAATGATGAGAGAGGGCGTCTTTGTCTTGTGCCGGTTTTCAAAGGCAATGCTTCCAACTTTTGCCCATTCAGTGTGATACTGGCTGTGGGTTTGTCATAAATAGCTCTTATTATTTTGAGGTATGTTCCATCAATATCAGTTTATTGAGAGTTTTTAACATGAAGGGATGTTGAATTTTATCATAGGCCTTTTCCGGATCTATTAAGATAATCATGTCGTTTTTGTCTTTGGTTCTGTTTATGTGATAGATTACATTTACTGATTTGCATATGTTGAACTAGCCTTGCATCCCAAGGATGAAGCTGACTTGATCGTGGTGGATAAGTTTTTTGATGCGCTGCTGGATTCGGTTTGCCAGTATTTTATTGAGGATTTTCACACTGATGTTCATTAGGGATATTGGCCCACATTAGAAAGCTAGAAAGATCTCAAATTGACACCCTAACATCACAATAAAAGAGCTAGAGAAGCAAGAGCAAAGTGATCCAAAAGCTGTCAGAAGACAAGAAATAATTAAGATCAGAGCAGAACTGAAGGAGATAGAGATCCAAAAACCCTCCAAAAACTTAATGAATCCTGAACCTGTCTTTTTGAAAAGATTAACAAAATACATGGACCACTAACTAGACTAATAAAGAAGAAAAGAGAGAAGAATCAAATAGTCACAATAAAAAATGATAAAGGAGATATCACCACTGACTCCACAGAAATACAAACTACCATCAGAGAATACTGTAAATACCTCTACGCAAATAAACTAGAAAATCTAGAAGAAATTGATAAATTCCTGGACATATACATCCTCCCAAGACTAAACCAGGAAGAAGTCGAATCCCTGAATAGACCGATAACAAGTTCTGAAATTGAGGCAGTAATTAATAGCCTACCAACCAAAAAAAAAACCATGACCAGATGGATTCACAGCTGAATTCTACCAGAGGTACAAAGAATAACTGGTACCCTTCTTTCTGAAACTCTTCCAAACAATTGAAAAGGAGGGACTCCTCCCTAACTCATTTTATGAAGCCAACATCATCCTGATGCCAAAACCTGGCAGAGACACAACAAAAAATGAAAACTTCAGGAAGTTATTCTAGTTTCAATCCTCCGTGAATTCTATTTGCATCAAATAAACACTTGGTTTGGCACTAGGTGATTATCTCTCAAAAACTTCACCAAGCAGGCAACAATATGTAATTATATTTAAATAGTATTGTTTTGTTTGTCATTTGTATCTATGTTTACAGAGTAATATACTACAGTAGTTAGGCATTACAGGCTTTGAAGTCACTCAGCTTGAATTAAAAAAATACAGGTTTGCTAACTATTGACTGATTTCTTGGGTAGGTTTCTTCTGTGTCTCTTTGCTGTCATTTGTATATGGGTCTAATAATGGTACCTACTTAATGGGGTTCATGTGAGGATCAAAGACCTAATTCATGAAAAATAATATAGTATGAAGCACTAGAAAATATTCAATAAATGTCAGCTATTGTACTTACTTTTAGGAGGTGATAATGGTTTCCCATTATAGGAAGGAGTTAACTTTATGTTTAAACAAAATTTGAGAAGTAAAAAAAAAGTGGTCAATGTGGAGAAAAATATTATAGTATAGCTAGTAGAAGGCTATAGCTAAAATTCTTATGGTGGTGACTAAATTTTGGAAAGTGCTATGCTAGGCTGTTAGTTATAAATGAGTTAACCAGTTCTGGTAGGGCCACCAAGAGGCAGCGCCTTCCAAATCAAATGTTCCATGGAAATACTCTAAAATTTCTTAGTGACCAGTGAACTTAGCACATAACTTGGCACATGGCATGCACTCCATAAATATTTGTTGAATGATGAATTAATGCATTTAACTGACATGCAGACCAATAGAATCTTCTTGGCTAAAACCCACCTTTTCTATTTTACTTTTTAAGGAAAATATTGAGCCTATTTTCAGCCATCCCATAGCCTAACTCTATGCAGACTGAGGGTGGATTTTTTTAGTCATAATAAATGGCAACTTTGCCAACTGTACATTAATATTCAAAGCATATGAATTTTCTTGCAAGCAGCAGCATCAACAGAATATCTTCATGGCTGACTCACTAGAGAGCTCTGTCTCAAAATATTACTTGCAGAATTGTTGCTACAATCTTAGCTGAGATTATTAACAGTTGAAGAAATTGAAGACATACTACCTCTCTCTACTTTTCTATGAATTCCAAGTTCTATTCTCAGACCAGATAAAACCAATAGATGACTATTTACCTGAATCTCATTACTTAATATCCTGTACATATGTCTTCACTGAGCTTTTCTGTTACACCTCTGAAGTTTATTAATAGTATTAGGCATGACCTTTATATAGGGCATGCTATTGAATATTTTGTAAAAAAAAATCCATGTTCAAAAACATTTTTTGTTGTGAAATATCTCTTATATAAGAACCTGCTGTACAAATTCTTTTTAGAAAATGAATGAGCGTCCTTCGTTCTATTATAAAACGAAATTTATTTGACTGACTGAATTTCCTTTTTACTCCTGAGTGATGGAAAGCTTGAAACTTAAGTTAATGTCCTTTTACAGTAGCACATATTAGCTTGGGTTCTTAAGGGAATATATGCTTCCTATCACCATGACTTTTATTTTAAATTTCTATTTTAATAATATGTTTTCTAGATTTTTTTTGTAAGCCATCTATAATCTTACTTGGAAGCAAGAAGTACTAGAAAGCAGTTTAGGTAGTTTAGAAAAAATGCACACTCAAACTCTCTGTGTTCAAATCCTAGCTCCATTGCTTCTCAGCTGCTATCTTGACATTTTGTTTAATCTTTCAATGCCTCTTTTTCTTATCGATAAAGTGGGAACAAAAATAGGCCCCATCTCATAAGTTTATTGGCAGGATTATATCAGTTAATGTTTAGTATAGTGCTTGGCAAATCATAACTGAAAAGAAATATTAGGTATATTTCAAAACTAAGGAATGTGACAAATAATAAGTAGGATATAATCATTATGAAGAATAAACTGATAAAGAATCGATATAGCTAAAAATTAAATGTGCAGTTTTCTCACTTCCAAAACTAACATACCAATTTTTTGTAGGATTGTGATTTGCCCAGGCCTGTGTTCTAGTAGCAGATATGCAATGAGGGAGGGTACGTTCAGGGCAGGTTTCATGCAACCTTTAATTTATTCAGTGTCTATTATGTTCTTCACATGATGCTGTGGGCTGTGGGGATACAGAAATAAACAAAACAAAGTCTTAGCCAAATGGATAACTTTCTAGGTTTAAGGCGGTCTAAGAGAAAAAGGTTAACTTCAGGGAGAAATAAAATCCAAACCTCAGAGAATGCTAATATAGAGTAATTCCAAGAGAAATTATGTGACCTGGAACTTCCACTTCCAGCTGAGATAGAATTACAAGAAACAGAATTACCCTCTTGACTTAAACAACTGAAAACCTGGACAAAATATACAAGACGTTTCAAATCTTTGACAACAGCCAGCACAGTGCTGTGATCACTGAGAAAAGAAAAACAAACTTCTCCAACGTATTGCCTGGAAGTCGTTCCTAAGTTATAGCCAATGTACAGAATGCTATAGGAGGATATAATAAAGAGATCTATTTTTTTTCCTGGGAGTCATGAAAGGCCTCCTTGAGGAAATGATGTTTATGCTGAGACTTGAAAGATTTAGTTATTCACTCAGCAAGTACTGTTGAGCATCTGTGCATTGATTGTTCTAAGTGCTAGGTGGCACAGTTAAACAAGAAAGACAAGGTAGGTACTTGCTCTCACGGAGCTTATTTTCTGGTGGATGAATAAGAGATAAGCAGGACAAGTTGGCTAAGGGTAAAAGAATGTTCCAGACTGAAGAAAGAGAAGGTTCAATGACCCACAAGTTGAAGAGATCCTAGTGTATCCTAGTGATTAGACATTTAGTTTGATTAGAATGAAAATAGGAGTTTGTGGTTGAGGAGTTATGACTAAACTGGAGAATGATGCAGGGATCAGAGCATGCAACAGGTTATAGGCCATGTTAAGAATGTGATGCTTTATCATAATGATAATGGGAAGCCACTGATGTTTTTTAAACAAACAAGAGATCGAATCAATTTTGTATAATTAAAACATTACTCTGGCTCCAAGTCAAGAATGAGTTGGAATGGGCTAGAAGCAAGGAGATCATTTAGGAAGCTAATGCAAATGCCCCAATAAACGATTATAGAGACTGGATTACAGTATAAAGATGAGTGAGAGAGACTGGAGGATAGATTAAATATCTGGCAAGAGAGGAAAGGGAAAGAGGGAAGTCAAGAATGACTTCACTGTTTCTATGTCTAGCAACTGGGAGAAGAACGATGTCCTTTATCAAAGAGATAATTCTAAAGAAGGAGCATATTGGGAGGAAGACAAAATAAATCCAACTTTGATAACATTACACTTGACATGCCTGTGAAATATCCTAGTGGAGCTGTCAATGTGGTGAATACACACGTCTAGAGCTCAGGAGGAGAGTGCCAGCAAGATATGGGAGTTTTTACCATGTAAATGGTATAGAAGTCATGGATGCAGATAAAAGAAGCCCTGTCACACCATGGTACATGTAAGTATACTATTTATTTCTTACTTGTCTGTATGCTCAGTAGTTTGTTTTAAGGTGTTTCACACATATCTGCATGCTGTAAGAGATGCTCCTAGTCTGTGATTTCCTATATACTACTTCTGTTTCTTTGTAGCTTCTAGAATAAGCCTCTATACACAATACATACACTATAAACATTTTCAACAGAGAAACCAGAAAACACTACTCTTGTTCCAGCTGGTGTCTGGTGAGGACGCACTTTTTCCTCCCTTACAGGTATAGCATTCCACATTTGAGGCAATGGATTTCTTAGGAATTACAGGAATTTTGAAGGATTTTTTTTTCCTACCATGATGTGTATCCTGGCAAAATAAATATGCATTCTCTTATTGGAGCAGGCAGCCAGGAATGTAGAGCTCTGGGAAATCCCTGAAGTAATGAGCTCTGCAGTGTAAAGACCCATGTGAATCATTTTCAGGCACAAGTTGATTGAGCTTGTCCCTAAATTAGAAATGGTTTTATGGAGCAAACATTTGTGGCGTTGGTGGACCTCAAGAAAACAGACTTACAGTTGACAGTTTTTTAGTTAATACTGGGAAACAACAGTTGGTGTGCATGTGCGTGTGTGTGTGTGTGTGTGTGTGTGTGTGTGTGTGATGTGTTTCTGCAGAATCCTACTCCACCAGGGAACATGAGTTTTACATTACAGTTGTTTGCCTTTCTGTACATGACTTTGCCTTCAGTCTTTCACTTGCTGAAGCTGCAGTGCTGCTCTATTCTGATGTTACTTCAGTGCAGCTGGAGGCATGTCTTTTGGCAAGGTTCTGTGTTTATTATAATCTCTGTGATGTAAATTTCTTCTTTAACTTTCTCTTAAAATACTTAGAATTATGAATGTGATTTTAATTAGGGATTTCAAATAGAAACATTTCCTTTTTCTTAAGACAGTTTTCAGTTAGAATATTTTAGGGTTTTGAGAAATACCAGATCCCCAACTCAAAAAGTACACAAAATAATCATCAGTTACTCCTTTAGGTTGCCACGGTGTGGCTGAGGTTGCAGGGCATGGATTTGAGTTATAGTCACAACTAAGTATCCTGCAACTCTTTTTTGCCCCCTTCAAATACCTACAACCTATTCACAGATTTGGAAAACCTTTACTACATCACATCATGGGTATTTTTCCTTTATGTAAACTCATGCCTGTTAGGGTTAGGTCTTGCTCCAGGCCTGGCATTTCAGTTCAGATACTGTTTTTGCCTCTTTTAGACTTGTGACTTTGTCACTTAGCCTCTATGAATCTCAGGAGCTTCATATGTGTAACTCAGATGTCCTGCTCTCACCAGGTGCAAAATGAATATTCAAAATTAAATGACTCCATATGCCCTGCTTCCTTTTGATTATCAAGTATATATAAATTAATATGCTTATTTTTACATGGAAATGACTCTGCAGAGCCATTACAGAACCCAAGTAACAAGTGTTGCCCCAGAGGTGAACTGAAGATGAGAAGGAGACTTATTTTGCACTGCATATCCTTTTGTACCATTGGAGGTTTTTTCCATGTTTAAATATGACTTTGTTAAAAACAAAGAAGCAAAATCAATATGAATAAAAGCCCCCATCTTGTGAACTGTGAGAAATTTTATTTTCTTAGTTTGTTTTGTCAGGTATTCCTAAGATTGCTTTCCCAGTCCTAATTGGTTAATCCTCTCTACTATCAATGGGAAGTCTGCCATGCCAGCAAAGGATGTAAACCCTGCTGCTGTTGCTGCTCTCTCTATCCCATAGCGTTGTTCCTCTATTTGAGGACAGCTCTCAGGACCCAATAATCCCTGCCCAGAAGTATAGCTTTGTTTGCTTCCAGATCTGGGCCTTCACCCTCCTTTCTCTATAGTCTCTGGCCTCAGCACAGGCTGCAAGCAGCTGTGCAGGAAGAACATAGAATGATGAATTCATAGAATTAGCAGGGCTTTTGGGAGGTTTATTCTTGCTGGAAGCAGTTGGCTCTGTTCTTATGGGTAGGGATTCCACGGCTTCCCTTGGTAGATCAAGTCCAGTCAAGTCATTCCTTCCTACACTGGCAATATACATTTCAGTCAATGACATGGATGAAGGTAGGGGTTGCACATATGACAGGAAGTTGGGAGGGATGTGCTAAGTAATAAAGTCAGGATCCAAAACTATCTGAACAGGCTGCAACCAAATTAAATATAGCAAGATGGGCCTAAATACACATATAGCTAAATGATTGGTTACTTGATGGGAAGAGATGTTTGCATATCAGTGTGGATGAAAGATAAACTAGGATTTTAGGTGACAGTGAAGGTACTAACAAAACATTAATGCTTAGGATGTTTTCGAATAATAATATAGAATGAGAACTGTGATAATTCCATCCAATTAGACCATATATAACTATTGCTTTCTATATCAACATATTACTTTTGAGAGAGACAATAATAAACTGCACTTATAGGAGAACAATCAAAATGGAGAAGAACCCGAAATCACTGTGATGATGTTTAGTTATGACAGCTAGCCTTTGTTTACCAGTTTCTATGTACCAAACATTCTCTTGAGTGCTTATACTAGTTTTTGTTGCATAACTGTGTAGATTACATTATTTTTTAGTAAATATTCACTCCTCCCTCCCCTGCATCCATTGGAAGTGTATACTTTTCCACCCCATTTGATGTTGAATGTGGCTATGTGACTTGTTTTGGGCTCATGGTTGGCAGAGTTTACTTCCCCTCCTCTGGACTTTGGACTTAGCACAGGACTTTCTGTGACCAATGGTAAGCTAGCAGAGGTGACAGGCAAAAGCCCAGCTTTTTGTGTGTCTTCTTAGTTGGCTTTTCCCTCCTACACTCCTGCCTTTCTCCATTAGATAAGCATGCCTTGGGTAGCTGCTAGTCTGAGTAAGAAGGGGCATATTTGGAGCAGACCCAGAACCGATCAGCAGCCTTTGGAGTGAATTCCAGCCAAGATCATTCTAGATCAGTTGAACCTCAGCCAACCTGTAGACAAGGGAGCTAGGAATAAATGTTTATTGTTGAAGACTATTGAGTTTGGGGGAGTTTGCTATGCAGCACTATTGTGGCAATAATTGATTAATATACTAACAGACAACCTCAAAGTCTCGATGACTTACAACAATATTTTTTTTTTCTCAAAAGTCATGAGTCAGTTGCGGCTCTGCTGGATATGGCTGAAATAGGCTAGGCTTGGCTTCAGATTGTAAACTGGGTTCGAATCAGCTTTGTGTGCTTTCTTATTTTCCTTGTACTAGTGACTCTCTGGGGCATGTTCTTATAGAAGATCATTAGAGTGTAAGAGACTAGAAAACCATGCAAGTATGTTTAAAGTTTTTCATTATATCACTTCTGCTAACATTCCATTGGGTAGAGCAAGTCATTTGGCTAAACCCAACATCAATGAGACAGGAAAGTATGTTCTACTCACAGTGGCAGGCCCAGCATAGTGGCAAAGAGGATAAATGTAAAATATTTTAACACAGAGAGTTTATGGGAAGTTCAGAACAATGACTGTCTAATCTAGCCCAGTGCTCTACACGAATTATTTATCTATTTCTTTACAACAATACTATGGAATAAACACAATTTCCCTATTACAGTTTGGGGAACTGAGATACAGAGGAGATAATAACTATGCAAATATCACAGTATTAGCAGGTTGTTGTTATAAGATTTGAACCTTCAGAGTATGATGCCGAAGATTGTATACTTTATCAGTCTGATTCACCTCCGCCCAAACATGTCCTGTGATCAATGTTTAAAGCAATAAGAGCAGTTTTGCATGGAGAGGAAAAGCCATATGTTGACCATCTTCCTAGCTCTGAAGGGCTATCATATGGAAGAGAGAGACAAGATTTGTTTTATTTGTTGTAAAAATGTGGTACCCTTGGTAGAGGTAGTGGGTTGAGAGATCAAAGGAATATACATTTTGGCACAATTTAAAAAAAAACTTTTTTAACAGTAAAAACTTCTCAATGATGGCTTGTATCCAAGTAAATACCTAGGTGACCACAAGGCATGGGTGTTATAAAGAAGATTCCAAAATCATATGGAAAATATGGTTAGCTTGAAAGATAGTTAAAACCTAAAATTCTTTCAGCCAAGAAACTTTATAATTCTATGAAAATTATTCTAAAAACATAGACATTCACTGTAAGTTAATAACAGCTTTTATTACAGTAGTAATAAAGCAGAGTTTTTCAATGTCCAAAATGGCTAGAAACTTTTAGAGCTAGCTAATAATTAAGAATCTTGGCTGGGTGTGGTGGCTCACACCTGTAATCTCAGCAATTTGGGAGGCTGAGGCAGGAGGATCACTTGAGGCCAGGAGTTCAAACCCAGCCTGGGCAACATAGCATGACCCATCTTTACAAAATACAAATAAATTAGCCAGGCATAATGACATGTGCTTGTAGTGCCAGCTAGTCGGGAGGCTGAGGCTGGAGGATTGCTTGAGCCTAGGAGTTCAAGCCTGTAGTGAACTATGATTGCACCACTGCACTCTAGCCTGGGAGACACAGCAAGACACCAACTCTAAAAAGTAAAATAAATAAAATAATAATCCTACAATGGCCTCTAAGTGTTTAAGTGAAAGAGTCACATGTTTCTCATTTTAAATCAAAAGCTCAAAACAATTAAGCTTAGTGAGAAAGGCATGTCTAAAGCTAAAGCTCAAAGCTAGGCCTCTTATACCAAACAGTTAGCCAACTTGTTAATGTAAAGAAAAAAGTTATTGAAGAAAATAGAAATTTCTACTCCAGTGAACACAGAAGTTATAAGAAAGCTCAACAACCTTATTACTGATATGGAGAAAGATTTAGTGGTCTAGATAGGTCAAACCAGCCACAGAATTCCCTTAGGCAAAAGCCTAATCCAGAGCAAGGCCTTACCTCTCTTTAATTCTCTGAAGGCTGAGAGAGGTGAGGAAGCTGCTGAAGAAAAAGTTGGTTCATGAGGTTTAAGGAAAGAAGCTATCTCCAGAACATAAAAGTACCAGATTAAGCAACAAGTCCTGATGTAGAAGCTGTACCAAGTTCTCCAGAAGATCTAGCCAAGGTAATTGTTGAAGGTGGCTACACTGAACAACAGATTTTCGACGTAGTTGAAACAGCCTTCTATTGGAAGAAAATGCCCTCTAGGACTTTCATAACTAGAGAGAAAAAGTCAATGCCTGGCTTCAAAGCTTCAAAGGATAGGCTGATTCTCTCGTTAGGGGCTAATGCAGCTGGACTTTAAGTTGAAACCAGTGCTCATTTACCATTTCAAAAATCTTAGGTTCTCTAAGATTTATGCAAAATCTACTCCATCTGTGCTCTATAAGTGGAATGACAAAACCTGGATGACAGCACATCTGTTTACAGCATGGTTTACTCTAGCAGTCCTCAACCTTTTTGGCACCAGGGACTGGTTTTGTGGAAGACAATTTTTTCATGGATGGTGGAGGTAGTGGGGTGTTGGCGAGGAGGACGGTTTCAGGGTGAAACTGTTCCACCTCAGATCATCAGGCATTACTTAGATTCTCGTAAGGAGCACACAACCTAGATCCCTTGCAGAGATCCCTCTGACAGAGATGTACAAAGAGACTTGTGTTGTTTTTATGCCTGCTAACCCAGCATCCATTCTGAAGCCCATGGATCAAGGAGTAATTTGGACTTTCAAGTATTATTATTTAAGAAATACATTTTGTAAGGCCAGAACTGCCATAGGCAGTGATTCCTCTGATGGATCTAAGCAAAGCAAATTGAAAACCTATGGAAATGTTTCACCACTCTAGATGCCATTAAGAATATTTGTGATTCATGGGAGGAGGTCAAAATAGCAACATTAACAGGAGTTTAGAAGAAATTGATTCCAACCCTTATTGGTGACTTTTAGGGGTTCAAGACTTCAGTGGGGGAAGTAACTTCAGATGTGGTAGAAATAACAAAAGAACTGGAATTAGAAGTGGAGCCTGAATATGTGACTGAATTGCAACAACCTCATGATGAAACTTTAATGGATGAAGAATTGATTCTCATGAATGAGCAGAGGGAGTGGTCTCTTGAGATGGAAACTATTCCTGGTGAAGATGCTCTGAACATTGTTGAAGTGACAGCAAAGTATTTAAAATATTACATAAGCTTAATAAAGCAACTGCAGAGTTTGACTTTAATTTTGAAAGAAATTCTACTGTGGGTAAAATGCTATCAAGCAGCATCATGTGCTACAGAGAAAACTTTCATGAAAAGAAGAGTTGACCAATATGGCAAACTTCACTGCTGTCTTATCTTAAGAAATTGCCACAGCCACTTCAACCTACAACCACCACCACCTTGATTAGTCAGCATTTGTCAACATAGAGACAAGGCCCTCCACTAGTACAGACATTACAACTCACTGAAGTTTCAGGTGATTGTCAGCATTTTTTGCCACTAAAGTTTTTTTTTAATTAATGTATGTACTTTTTAAAGACATAATGCCATTTCATACTTAATACACTATAGTACAGTATAAACAGAATGTTTATATGCACTGTGAAACCAAAAACCTCATATGACTTGCTTTATTGAGATATTCACTTTATTTTGGTGGTCTAGGACCAAACCTGTGTATCTCTGAGGCAGGTCTCCATCCAAATTACTTTCATCTCTGTTACTATGGTGAAATCTGGAGACAGTATAAAATCTGAAAGGTGTTGAAAGTTTAGATGAAGGGCCAGCTATTGAAAAACAAACACCCTCTTAGTATCCATATTATCTGCCAAAAAATTCATAGTCAATTTATGAGCATCTTTTTAAAACTTTAGGATGAAACAAAACTAAAAATTTCTTTTGAGGTATCAATATTAAGATACACAAAAATAAGAATTTTATAAAGATGTTTATATATGAGGTCTTAGTTCACCTCCCCTAAGACTATTTTTGCCATAAATTCTCATATATTTCAGTTACAAATCTCCTGCCACATGGTTTTTCAAAAACAAGTGTGCAGAGGAAATACTGTAAATATTCATATATTGTAGCTATATTCCAGATACATCCAAGACACATAAGGTAAAAACACCTTTGCTGGGATTAAATAAAAGGCATGCAAATCTAATCTAATAGAACATATTTAAAAATGTAATTGCACTACTTTCACATATGCCAAAGTTCACAAAAATTTACAGTGCATCTATTATGTATAATGCCTTAACACTACAGCAACACAAAATGTCTAGCCAGGAATTAAAGTGTTATTAAGAGACAGAGGAGATACATGCTAATGACTCAAATCAAGAGTGTAGTAAGGAAAGAGTGCCATAGAGAAGGCTCATGGCAAACGTTAGGAAGATTCAAAGGAGAGAGAGAAAAGAACTCACTAGGAGGAGCTTTGAGATTCACTGATTCAACAAAGAATCATGAAGTTCCTACCGTGTTAAAGGCTTAGTGCAAAATACTGGAATGGACTGATTGGTAAGCTAATCAGTAGTGGAGATAAAAATTGAGAGAATCGGAAAAGCATAAGACAAGAACAGAGTAAATGTCTTTAAAGTAGAGTAGGGCTGGTAGAGCTCTAGGAGAGCTTCCTCAATTCAACAGGGAACTGGAAGTCAGAATATTTATTAAACAGGAAGTGATAGGATGAATCATGGGTCTGGCATTTCAATGGTATTATTTGCAATGAGTTATATGCATATGAAGATTAAATGATGTGGTCAGATCTTTCTCAATCTTTTGATTTCTGAAGAAGGCAAAGCAGACTTAATGGTTTTGGATCCTCTGTAAATTTATAGAGATAGTACAAAGGAATGCCTCAGAAGCTGTCACAAAAAGTCACAAAGTTGAAATGATTAATATACCAAACAATGAGTTTTCCTATATCACAAAACATCATCACCTCTGATCAATGGTCTTATAGAACACAAACATACAGTATTAGTTCATTTTTTCAGGTCAAGGCTAAGAACCATAATATCAACTTTAATACTGACTAAATTCCAAGACTGGATCTCAGTTTATCTCAATTTCCTCAGGTCATTAACCTTCTTTATTTCTGCAGTGGGGAAAAAGATAATATGGCCTACTAGCTCCACTATTGTGTGAAAGAACTAAATAACACTGATGAAGAGGTCTAAGACATGGGAAGTGCTAAATTTAATTATTTACTATTAGCATCTCCTCTCCATGCAGATGTTTCTGGTTTTAAAAACGTGAACCATGTGGACAACGCAGGATCAGTGAGTCTAGTAAATGAGGAAGCAAGAAGGGTATACAGAGAAGCATTATGAAAGCCATAGGGCCAGAAAAGACAGAACATCCGAGGTGTAGGGGAGTTCAAAAGTAAAGTAGGATTAACCCAAGAAATACTCTCAGGGATGTGATTTGAAGAAAAACAATCTGGCAGACCAGACACTAACATAAAAGGCAAAAAGGGAGGAGGGACAGACATAATGCAATATTAAAGACAAAGGGACAGCCTACCAAAGGAAAAATAAGAGAAGTTGCATGGGTGAGAGATGAAAAATGCATCTCCAAGAATTAGTTCAAATGTTTCCTTTGGAAAACAGGAAATGTAAGCCTTGGTGAAAACAATATGACACAGGAAGATAGAATTAAAGTAATTTAAAATGAAGATGTGAACGCACACCCTCAATAAGGTACAGTTGTATACAGTACCCTAAAACTTAATGTATAATAATAATAATAAAATAAAAAATTAAAAATTAAAGAAAAGAAAGAATAAGACCTACTATTAATATTTGATAGCACAATAATGTGACTATAGTCAATAATAATTGTATACCTTTAAATAACATAAAGAATGTAACTGGATCGTTTGTAACTCAAAGGATAAATGCTTGAGGGGATGAATACCACACCTGCAAAAGGGATAGGTTTTAAAACAAACACACACACACACACACACACACACACACACACACACATGCATGATAAGGTCTAAAGAAATCAGCCCTGAAGAAAACGGAGCAAATAGATCCTTTGTTATCTTGACATATAGTTTCCATAGAAATCTGACAGTGAATTTGATCACTTACATTCTCAAACTTAAGAAAATTGCTTCAGAATTAGTCTTAGGGTCACTATAAAGAAATCATCTTTACTGAAGGTGAAAAGGATACATATTTTTACCTGCTTATTGTTTAAAAACATAATAATTATAATTGACTATCCTAATTTTTGTACTAGGAAATTAAGAAAAAGATATCAGTGAGCTTCTATGAGAAAACAAACCATAATGGAATCAGATATCATCTCACCTCCTAATTACCTGTTTTGACCTTGAACAAGTCAATTAACTTCTCTGGGCTTCAGTTTTCTCATCTGTAAACCTCTGTTTAGGGATTGTATAAGTGAAGGTATGTTACGCACAAAGCTGGTACATGTTAAGTGCTCAATTACCGTCTCCTTTCTCCCCAAACTGGCTGGCATAAAGACACTGAAAAACACATAATTCATTTATATATCAAAAGGTGTTTCTCAACAGCCCACAAGGCCTTAGTAAGTAAATATCTTGTTAACTTTGAACATGCCATTTCTTCAACAAAAAACAAGGAATCATGGGAAACCAATTAAATTTGAGAATCTTTCAATTTGGAATTGCTTAAAAGCTATGTGAAAACTAGTAATTTAGTCCTACATTCTCATAATTAGTAATCTTGGTTGGGCATGGTGCCTCATCCCTATAATTCTGGCATTTTGGGAGGCTGAGGCAGGAGGATCACTTGAGGCTAGGAGTTCAAGACCCACCTGGGCAAAATAGCAAGACCCCAATCTATTAAAAAATTAGAAGTCTCACCAGTGATACCAGTGTCAGATCAATCACTTTCTCTTTTAAAACAACATAGATTTTTTTTTCAGATTTTTTCTCTTGCCCCATTCCCAATAAAAAATGAACCAGTAGTGAAGTTGATTGAATCTTATAGACTAGATTTTGCTTTGTTTTTTAAACTTTATTTATTTATTTATTTTGGAAACAGGATCTCATTCTGTCACCCAGGTTGGGCTGACTGCAACCTCTGCACCCATGGCTCAAGCGATCCTCCTACCTCAGCCTCCCGAGTAGCTGGGACCACAGGTATGTACCACCACGCCTGGCTTTTCTCTCTCTCTTTTCTTTTTTTTTTTTTTGTATTTTCAGTAGTGACAGAGTCTTGCCATTGTTGCCCAGGCTGGTCACAAACTCCTGGGCTCAAGCTGTCTGCCTGCCTTGGCTTCCCAAAGTGCTGGGATTACAGGCGTGAGCCACTGCACCCAGCCGGTTTTTAAACTTTTATTCTTGGGCTAGCTCTGCAAAATTTGTGGTTGGTATCTATTGGCAAAGACCAAATGAGAGCAAGAAAAAGCATATAGAAGGAAAATACAAATATCTGGATGATAACAAAGTGTATTGCAAAAGTCACTGGTCAAGGGAGTCAAGTGGGCCCTGGGTTGATATTGGAAAAATTACTTCACTCCTCTGAACTTGAATTAATTAATCAATAAGATGATATTCCAGGAGTTCCCTTCCAGTGGCAAAATTCTATCATTAACTATGGGGTACCTTTTGCTTCTATCAAATTAACAAAACTTACAGAGTTTGGAACGGAGGATGGGGGGGATGCATAACCCTTTCTAAGGTTCATAAAATTCATACTCTCATTTACAGCCTGGGTGGGCAGAACAGAATGGAGAACTGCTATAAATTAGTATAACTCTTTACAAGGAAAATTTGGTAAAATACATCCAGAACATGAGACTCAAACAGTGGTTCAAAGTTGGCAATCTCTAATTTTCAGAATGGCAAAGTTCCAATGCCCATTTAGTTAAGTTGTTTAACATAGTTATCTTATATGTAGTTGTCTGAAAGGGTGTTACGAGAATTAAATTAAATTCAGGTAAAGGCCTGCCCCACTAACAACCTGGCCCTTGGTAAGTACTGAAAACATGTAAGTTATCATTTTTATTTTGTTTTTACCCAATAACCCCACTCCTGGGATTTATCTCTAAGAAATCATTATAAGAAAAAACAAAGGTACTTGATAATTTGTGGTATCATTGATTGTAATCAGAAAAAAATAACTGAAAAAAACCTAAATGTTCAACAACTGAAAAGTGGTAGTAAACCTGATAGAGAATTAAGAAGCCATTAAAGTAATTACTATAAAGAGTCGACAATATTGTGGGAAAATATGAATGATATAGTACTAACTGAGGAAAGCATGATCCAAATTGCCTGTACATTATGATTTTAACTATATAAAATGTACATACTTGTATATAAAGGCAAGAAAAGATGGAAAACTGTAGTCAATATTTGAATAAACTGAATAATGTTTCTCCTTTAATTTTTTTCAAGATTAGCATGGTATTGTTAAATAATGCATTGTAAAACAAATAAGTAAATAAAAACGAACGAACAAATGAAACAAAACAAAAGACAAAACCCTTCCAGGTAAAGGATAACATTAATAACTGCTAGTTTTAACTCCCTTGGGGTTGTAAAAGGGGCACCAAGCCCAGGGCATCCTACTAGCTAGGTGGAGCCTTACACATACCGATACTGTGCACACAGGATGATTAGAGGATATGCTTTTGACATGGCTATTTTAGTGACAGGACTAGATTGTAAACATTTCTGATCACTCCATCAAAGTATTTACTCCAAATATCAATTGAACTCTTAACTAATAAAAATATAGTAACTTTCTTATTGCAATTTGACCATATAAATGCACTTGTATACATGGAGCACATATCTTATTTTAATTTTATTGTCACTATATTTTCTGATAGGTACTTTAAAATTTATGAATATCAGAACAATCTCCTGTTTTATAAAACCTGCTCCCTTCAAAATTTTCAGACATAGCTTCTATTGATCTAGGTTCTAGGGTACATTCAAAGAGTTTCTATTTCTCAGAATTTTCCCCAAAATGTCCTTTACATTTCCCCAAAATGTAAAGAACCATATCCAAATAGTACCAATATCCAGTAAAAACCATTTGAATAGCAAGTCATCAAAACTTCAAAATGATCCAATTAGCATAAAAGGGTTAAGAATAAACTGATTAAATAATTCAAACCATATATTAAATAATTCAAACCATAGGTTGACCTGAAAGCCCATAGATGTGGAACATTTATTTCTAATTTACTCATGGAATGTAATGAAATTACATTACCACTTGTTAAATCTTAGCAATTTAACAGTTATATTATTATTATTATTTTTAAGTAGAGACAGTATCTCTCTGTGTGACCCAGGCTGGAATACAGCAGCATGATCATGGCTCCCTGTAACATGGAACTCGTGGAGTCAAGCAATCTTCCCACCTCAGCCTCTGGAGTAGCTAGGACTATTAGGCATGTACCACCATGCACCACTAATTTTTATTTTCTATTTTTTCACAGAGACAGGGTCTCACTGTGTTGCCCAAGCTGATCTTGAACTCCTGGCCTCAAGTGATCCTCCCAGCTCGGCCCCTCAAAGCATTGAGATTACAGGCATGAGCCACCACACCTGGATAACAGTTAAATTCTGTATTTTATTTTATTTTACTGACAGGCTCTTGCTCTGTTGCCCAGGCTGGAGTGCAGTGGCATGATCTTGGCTCACTGCAACCTCCACCTCCCTGGCTCAGGTGATCTTCCCACCTCAAGCCTCCTGAGTAGCTGGGAATACACACGTGTGCCACCACAACTGGCTAACTTTTGTATTTTTAGTAGTGATGGGGTTTCATCATGTTGCCCAGGCTGGACTCGAACTCCTGGGCTCAAGTGATCTGCCCACCTCAGCCTCCTAAAGTGCTGGGATCACAGGTGTGAGCCACTGTGCCTGGCCAGTTACATTCTTAAACTGAGAGTATGGGGACATTATGTATACTTTGAGTATCTGGTTAGAGGTCTTTCAGACACAAAACTGGGGATGGAAAACATTTAAAAAGATTAGCAAAAAGTGAAAAATCTCAAAATTAAGTGAAAGGGGGAAAAAAGAAAAATTTACACTATATGTTATAAGAGATACCTCAGGATTAGGTGGACCATATCTCTGTTGCATTATCCGAATCTTCAGTTATCAAAGCTCAAGACTTAGTATGACTACCAAAGCCCTATCATGATCCCAGAGATTTCTAAATGAGCTTTAGAATAAATTTGAATAAATATTCTTTAATTTATCCTGACACCACCAAGTCCACCTTCTACTTAACTCAGCAAATATTTGTTGAGTGCTTATCATGTTCAAGACATGGGAGTAAGCAAAAGAAATAAATCCAGAAATGAACAAATGTAAACCTTTCCCAATCTACGAACTCTCAGATGTTTCCTAAGCAGAACTCTCTATTATCCTTTATAGATCTCTTTAGGAACAAAAAAGATGCTCACAACTGGGCCAGTGGCTTTTCTACTGAGTTGAATTTCATTCTCAACTTCCAAAAACCACAAGCTAATTCATCAACAAGTTAACTGTCTGACAAGTAAAATAAATTGCCTTATGACAAGTCTCTCACTTCCCCTGAATGATTTTAATTATCCCTGCAGCCAAGAATTGTGACTAACTTCTGTGACAGAAGTGAGGAGTACATTGTTTAAAAAGCTATTAACATTGTGGTTTTTTTCTTGTTTTTGTTTTCTTTTCCCCCAGCATTAAACCTTTGTAGAGCTGTCCTCTGTCCTGGAGCAGGGAACAGGAGGGCAGCTAACTGGGGTACCTACAAATGCCATACACTGGTCTGAGTGCTTTAGGTACATTATCTCATTTAATTCTTGTAAACAGTACTATGAGGTAGGTATCATTATCAATTTCATTTATTTTTCATTTTTATTTTTAATTTTATTTATTTATTTATTTATTTTTGAGATGGAGTTTCGCTCTTGTTGCCCAGGCTGGAGTGCAATGGTGTGATTTCAGCTCACTGCAACCTCCACCTCCCAGGTTCAAGCGGTTCTCCTGCCTCATCTTCCCGAGCAGCTGGGATTACAGGCATGCACTACCACACCTGGCTAATTTTGTATTTTTAGTAGAGACAGGGTTTCTCCATGTTGGTCAGGCTGGTCTCGAACTCCCGATCTCAGATGATATGGCCGCCTCAGCCTCCCAAAGTGTTGGGATTACAGGCGTTGAGCCACCATGCCTAGCCATCACTTTCATTTTTAGAATAAGGCTAAAAAGGCTAACTAACTGGTACACAGTAACAAAGCCAGTAAACATATCCCTTTTTCCTAAAGATAAAAGAGTATGCATTCTGTGTTAACATCTGCATTTATAGATTCAAATTATAAGAAAGTCATGGGCTAGGAGATCAAATATTAAAAGAAAATGCCTGAACTCCATTTCTAGATAGATAGCAAATTAGATACCCTGAACACTACTTGACCTGCATTAAAAAAATTCTGAATAAAACATAAAAATATCTTGTAAAATGCATTAGTGAGCTGGTAAGAAAGTAAGGAAAGCCAAAGAGGGTACAAACTAGGGAATCCAGCAAGAAAAGTAAGCACTAAAGCCAAAAGTCCTGGGAACATCTCTAACTGCCTGGAGACCCTGAGTGGTATTTGACATTGCTGTAAGGACTGAAGACAAAGTCTAGAGCTTCACAAGGCAAGAAGTCAGACAGAGGATCCCTATATAAAGCCAGGACCTCAAAGGGCTATACCATAATGAAGTGGTAAACTAGAAAAAAAAAAAATAGGCAGTAAAGAAAAAAAAATTCCATAAAAAGTGGCAACAGTGAAAACTGCCTCTCTTGACTTTGGCAAGAAATGGACAGATGGAAAGAAAATAACTATTTTCTGAAAACATATGCCACAGATTGGCCTTCACATAAATATAGAACCTAAATTCACACTAGTGGTATAACTGGAAAAATCATAATCTTATTATTTATTCTTAAGTGGTCATAGATTGCTGGTGCCCAAAAGCACCTGGCAAAACAACACTCAAATAATCTTTGAAGAAAACAATCCTTCAGTTCAGGACTGAAAAAATCATCTCCAAATAAGTAACAACAGAAAACAAGGCACCATGAGCAAGAAATAGCAAGTACAACAGCAGATATTAGAATTGGACCCCAGAATATTTCAGATATTGAAATTATCAGGTACAGAATATGACAAACATGTTTTCTATGTTTAATGATATAATAAGGGATACTTTAAACACTGAAATAATGAGGCAAAATTTAAAATGAATCAAACAGAACTTCCAGAAGTGAAAAATGTTACCATTTAAAGTTCAATAAAAGATTAAACAGAATGGGAAAGCAAAAGTTCAGTAAAAGGTTAAACAGAATGGGAAAGCAAAATTTCAGACAATTAATGACATGGAAGATAGAGCTAAAGAAATTACCTAAAAACATGCATAGAAAGTCAAAGATATAGAAAATATGAAAGAGAAACTGAAAGACAATGAGGTTAGACTGAAAAGGTTCAACATATGTCCAAACAAAATTTCAGAGAAAATAATGAACAATCAGGGTAGGAGACAATATTTAAAAGATATAACTAAGAATTTTCCAGAATTGATGAAAACGTGAATTTTCAGATTGAGGAATAACAATGTTGCCAAGAAAGATAAAGAAAAAGACATCTCCACCAAGACATAGTGAAAATACAAAACATCAAAGACATGATCTTAAAAGCAGCCAGAGAGAAAAGAAAAATGGTATACACAGGAAGAGTTACATTAACATCTGACCTCTCAGAAGCAACAATGGATGCCAAAAGATAGTGAAATAATACCTGAAAGTGATGAGAAAACAAATAACCATCAACCTGGAATTGTATACAAGTTGTATACAAACCAAAACGATTTTTCAAAAATGAGAGTGAAACAAAGACATCTGAAGTTTAAAAAAAATTTAGGAGTGTTTACCATACCATACTCTCAGACCATCACAGTTTCTGAGAGTAAACACTGAAATTAGGATTACAAAAAAAATCAATTAGAAAAACCCATACGTATAGAAATTAAAAACACACTTCTATACAGCTGATCATACATATGATTTTTTCAGGTAAGAAAAAAATAGCATATAGAAAATACAGAGAGTTGAACAATAACAAAAAATACTGCTTCTCAAAATAGGCCCAATCTTTTAAATTCATTGCCTAAGATATAGTTAGCCAGAGTTTCTATGATCACAGTAGAATAAATTTTCTTACAGCCACAGAGTCCATGTAGCTGAAAATTGAATGCAGAATCCAATTCTGTGTGTATTTTAATTATTTCACCTCATCAGGTCTCTGTGTAAAGGTAATCACATTCATTGAGAAAGTTTAGGAAGATTCAGATAATTCTAAGTACTCTGATCTTCAAAACAGTACTCTTGTCTACTCTGTCAACCAAAGGAACTTCACCCCAATGTTTGAGAAGCCTATTTCTGCCTTACTTAAAAACTCATGCACATGTATGTTTATTGCGGCACTATTCACAATAGCAAAGACTTGGAACCAACCCAAATGTCTAACAATGATAGACTGGATTAAGAAAATGTGGCACATATACACCATGGAATACTATGCAGCCATAAAAAATGATGAGTTCATGTCCTTTGTAGGGACATGGATGAAATTGGAAATCATCATTCTCAGTAAACTATCACAAGGACAAAAAACCAAACACTGCATGTTCTCACTCATAGATGGGAATTGAACAATGAGAACACATGGACACAGGAAGGGGAACATCACACTCTGGGGACTGTTGTGGGGTGGGGGGAGGGGGGAGGGATAGCCTTAGGAGATATGCCTAATGCTAAATGACGAGTTAATGGGTACAGCACACCAGCATGGCACATGTATACATATGTAACTAACCTGCACATTGTGCACATGTACCCTAAAACTTAAAGTATAATAATAATTAAAAAAAAGAAAAAAAAAACCTCATCTATAGTATCTCCTCTAAAGTAGTTCCCTTGCAACGAGATACCATTTTTCTCATGTTTCATCTAAATATCTCATTGCCTACAGTTGATCCTAGTATATTTCCAGGTGGCGAATTGCAAAGTCAAACCCAGGAGGAAAATGCTTGCATGGTAAAAGATTGGCTAATTATACATTGGTGGAAACTATTTAGGGGGAAATTTGGAGGGAGCTAGACCAGTGAGAGAGAAAAATACTTTTAGAACCAGCTAATTTGTGGCTACAGGTGAATTTACCAGAGATTCTATATTCAACACAGTAGACAGTGCAACAGGGAGTAGTTCTAATCATATGGTTGGTTGGTTGTCTGAAACCTGGACAAAATGGTGATGAAGAAAAAACATGGTTTAAGAGAAATTTTTAGCATTAAAATGCATGTATTAGAAAACAGAAAAACACCTAAAATCAATAACATGGTTTCACATTAGGAAACTAGAGAAAGAAAAGCAATTTAAGCCTAAAGTAAGCAGAAGAAAAAGAATTAATAAAAATTAGAGCAGGAATGAATGAAATTGAAATTAAGAAAGCAACAGGGAAAAACAATGGAACTAAAACCATCAGTAACTGATAAACTTCTAGCCAGGCTAACCAAGAAATAAAGAGAGCCAACACAAATTACCAGTCTGATCCAATTGATATTAAAAGGATAATAATGGAATGCTAGATAAAACTCTGTGACCACAAATTTGGTAACTTATATGAAATGGATCAATTCCTCAGAAGACACAAATTAACAACTCACACAAGGAGAAATAGGTAATCTGAATAGGCCAATATCTATTAAAGAAGTTGAATTAATAATGACATTCTAAAAAAAGAAAGCACCAGATTCACATGGTGTCACTGGGACATTCTGCCAAACATTTAAGGAAGAAATGCTACAACCTTGGATGGAGCTGGAGGCCGTTACTCTAAGTGAAGTAACTCAGGTATGGAAAACCAAATGTTGTATGTTCTCACTTATAAGTGGGAGCTAAGCTATGAGGATGCAAAGGCATAAGAATTATATAATGGACTTTGGGGACTTGAAGGGAAGGGTGGGATTAGGGTGAGGGATAAAAAACTATTTATTGAGTACAGTGTACACCGCTTGGGTGATAGGTGCACCAAAATCTCAGAAATCTCCACTAAAGAAGTTATTCGTGTAACCAAAAACCAACTGTTGCCCAAAAACTATTGAAATAAAATAGAAAAATAAAGTTTATATGGAAAAGCAAAAGATCTAGAATAGCCAACACAATACTGAAGAACAGCATTGGAAGACTCACACTATCCATTTCAAAGACTACAATAAAACAGCATAAGGCTACATTAATCAAGACCAATAAAATGACAGTAATCAAGACACCATGACATACACATTAATAGAACAGAGTAGAGAGTCCAGAAAATGACATACAAATAAAGTCAACTGATCTTTAATAAACCGGCAAAGGCAATTCAAGGGAGAAAGGATATCTTTCAAAAAAATGGTATGGAAACAATGGGACATCCATATGCAATAAAAAACAAAGCTAGATTCAGATCTCATACCCTTCACAAAAATTAACTCAACATGTATTATATATTTGAATGTAAAATGCAAAACTTCTAGATAAAAACAGGAGAAAATGGTTGAGACCTTGGGTTTGGTAATGAGTTTTAGATAAAACACCAAAAGCATGACCCATGAAAGAAAAAAAATTGATTAGTTAGCCTTTATTAAAATTGAAAACTTCTGCTCAGCAAAAGATATCATTAATGGAACGAAAAGCCACAGACTGGGCAAAAAAGATTTTCAAAATATATACCTGATAAAAGACTTATGCCAAAAATATACCAAAGAACTCTTAGAACTCAACAATGAGGAAAAAAACCTCAACCCAATTAAAACGTAAGCAAAAGATATGAACAGACACCGTATCAAAGAAGACATACAGATGGCAAATAAGCATATGAAAAGATGCTCAGCCTCATCTGTCATTAAGGTATTGCAAATCAAATAAAAATAGTACTGCCACTAAAAGACAGTTTGGCAGCTATGTTACAAAGCTAAACATAGTCTTACCTTACAATCCAACAATCACACTCATAGATATTCACCCAACTGATTTGAATGTTTCAGTCCACAAAGAAACCCTACATGTGAATGTTACAGCATCTTTATTTATAATTGCCCCAAATTGGAAGTAACCAAGATAACCTTCAATAGGTGAATGTATAAACAAATATGGTACATCATAAAGTGGAATCTCATTTAGTGATAAAAGGAAAGAAATTATCAAGCCACAAAGACATGGATTAATCTTAAACGCATACTAAGTAAAAGAAACTAGTACATGAAAAGGGTATGGTACGGTATGATTCCAAATATATGACATTCTGGAAAAGGCAAAATATCAAGATAGTAAAAAGATCAGTGTTTCTAGGGGCTCAGAGGAAGGAAGGGATGGTTGAATAGACAGTAGAGATTTTTTTTAGGGTGATGAAACTATTCTGTATATTATAGCAGTAGGTACATGACACAATCCATTTGACAAAAAAATAAAACAGCACACAAAAGTGAACCTTAACGTATGCAAATTATAGAAAACTATTTAGGAGATCAGAGGATTCCAAGATGGACTGCAGAATGTAACAATACAATCCAACTGGTGTAAAGATCAACAGATAGACACATGGAAAACAATAGAGTCCAGAAATAAACAAAACTTATTTGGAAAACTGATTTTGACAAAAGTGCAAAGGCAATTCAGTGGAGAAAGAATAGTTTGCTCAACAAATTGTGCTGGAACATATGTCCATGTATAAAACAGCAAACTTTGATCCATAACTCTAAACATAAGAAAAAGATAAAAATGGATAATACACCTAAATGCAAAACATAAAACTCCAAAAGTATACAAAAACTACAGGAAAAACTTTGTGCCTTGGCTTAGATAAATTTTTTCTGCAAAGGGCAAAAAAGTAAATATTTCAGATTTTGTGTGCCATGTGGTCTTCGTTCCAGCAATTCTGTGTGCTTTTGTAGCTTGAAAGCAATTGCAAACGACATGTAAACAAGAATACATGGCTGTGATCCAAAATAACTTTATTGCCCAAAACAGGCAGCAGGCCAGATTTGACCCATGGGCTCTAGATAGAACAACAAAAGCATAGTCTATTTTAAAAATCGATAAATTTGACTTCATTAAAATTGAAGCATTTGCTTGTTGAAAGACACAATCAAGAGAATGAAATAACAAGTAACACAAAGGGAGAAAAATATTTACAAACCATATATCTGATAAAGGACTTGTATCCAGATGATATAAACAACCCTTAAAACTCAATAATATGAAAACAAACAGCCAAATTTTAAAATGGGCAAAAGATTTGAACCTATACTTCACCAAAGGAATATAGATGGCAAATAAGCCCATGAAAAAAATGTTCAACATTATAAATTATTAGGAAAATGTAAATTAAAACCAGAATGAAGGACTACTGCACACCTATTAAAATGGCTAAAAATAAAAGACTGACAATAGCAAGTTTTGGTGAGGAGGTAGAGGAATGAAAATTCTTAGACATTGCTGATGGAAATGTAAAATGGTACCATCACTTGAAAAATATTTTGGCAGTGTCTTTTTTTTTTTTTTTTTTTTTTGAGTTTCGTTTGTTTGTTTGCTGTTGAGACAAACATGCTGTTGCCCAGGCCGGAGTGCAGTGGCGCGATCTTGGCTCACTGCAACTTCTGCCTCCTGGGTTCAAGCAATTCTCATGCCTCAGCTTCCCGAGTAGCTGGGATTACAGGTGTGCATCACCACGCCCAGCTAATTTTGTATTTTTAGTAGAGACAGGGTTTCTTCATGTTGGCCAGGCTGGTCTCAAACTCCTGGTATTCTGGCAGTTTCTTACAAAGTTAAACATACACTTGCCAATTGTGATTCAGCCATTCTACTCCTAGGTATTTGACCAAAAGGAATAAAAGCATATGTCTACATAAAGACTTGTACAAGCATATTCATAGTAGCTTTATCTTTAACAATCAAAAGCTAGAAACAACTCAAATGTCCATCAATAAATGAATTTATAAGCAAGCTGTGGTATAGCCATACAATGGAACACCACTTGTCAATAAAAAGGAACACTACAACATGGATGAATATTAATATAATTGTACGGAGTAAAAGAAGCCAAAACCCAGTACAAACTGTAATATTCCATTTATGTACAGTTCAAGAAAATACAAACTAATATATAGTGATTAAAAGCAAATCAGTGTTACCTGGGACAAAGTGGAGGAAGGGAGGGAAAAGTTGGTAAGAGGCGTGAGAAAACTTTGGGGGATGATGGATATACAGTACATGTTCATACAAATGTATGAACATTATGTATGATATGGATATACAGTACATGTTAGTTATGCACGAACATTATATATGATATGCCAAAACTTATCAAATTGAACACTTTTAAGTGCAGCTTATTGTAATGTCAATTATACTCCAACAAAACTGTTATAAAAAATACATAAAGCCAGATACCTGTACATGTTCGTCAAAGTAGATAAAATGTAAAATACTAAATATTGATAATATTAAATGTTGGTGAAGATGTGGAAAAATCAAATCTCTCATACATTACTTGAAGGAATGTAAAATAGTACCATCACTTTGCAAACACAATTTGGCAATTTCTTGAATTTACCATACAACCCATGAATTCCACTCCTAGTTATTTACTGAAGAGAAACAAACACATATGTACATATAAAAATGTATACATAAATACTCATAGCAGTTTTATTAATAGTAGCTAAAAACTGGAAACAACCCAAATGTCCATCAACAGGTATATGAATAAAGAAATTGTGGTATATTCATACAGTAGAATACTACTCAGCAGTAAAAAGGAATGAGTGCTTGATATGTGCAACAACATGAATGAATCTCAGAGTTACTGTGCTGAGCAAAGACCTCCAGACACAAAGATGACATACAGAATGATTTCATTTATACGAAACTCTAGAAAAAAACAATTTAACCTAAGGTGACAGAAAGCAGATTAGTGATTGTTTGGGGCTGGGGATGGAGGAGGTGTTAGCCAAGGAGGAGCACAACAACACTTTTGGAGCTTGCTGAAATACCTTATATCTTGATTTTGATGGCAGTTACATGGTTGTATAAATTTGTTAAACATTTACAATTTGGGTACATTTTATTGTGTGTTAATTTTATTTCAATACAGTTGATTTGGAAAACAAAGTGTCCTCCAAGTGATTCTGGTATTAGGGAAATCTCTGAGCAAATCCAATCTCCAACTGAATGCAAATACATTTTCTACAACAGTCACCTAGCCCTACCTGAATATTTCTTATGTCTGAAGCTTGCTGCTAAACAGGGCTGCCTTGCCCACTTCTTGACAGCTCGGTCAGAAAATCTTTCCATGCTGAGTCTAAATAAACTTCCCTCTGATGGCCATATTTGGCCAAGTTCTGCCCTCTGGAACTACTCTCATATAATCTTTATTGACAGCCTTCAAATATTAAAAGCTGCCTATCTTGCAGACAGTATAACAGAGAGAGTTTATATAACATGTGCTCTGAGAACTGACAGGCTTAGAATTTAATTCTGACCACATCACTTTTGAATGATTTTAAGCAAGCTACTTAACCTTTGTAGGCCTATGTTTCCTCAGCTGTTAAATATTCATAATAATAGCACTATGAGGATTATAAGGATTAAAGAGGTAATGCATGTAAAGCAGTTAACATAACGCCTGGCATATGGCACATGCTCAATTATAATTACCAGCTCTCCTTATCTTTCTCACACAGGCTAATCAACACCAGGTACCTTAGTCTCTAAGACTTTAATTCCAGAGTGCTCAACATCTAGGTTTCCTAAAAATGCTATAATTTGTTCATGTAATCACAACTCATACTGTCATCCATTATTTTTTTCGGCATTAAAGATGCCTTAGGATCTGAATCCGTAGTCACAAAATGCTGACTTAAGAAGTGTTAATTATTTGAGGCAAACAATAAAGGAAAAAGGATTAGAAGAGATTTAGAATAAAGTATCAGATGAAGTAGTACTTGAATACAGTTTTGCAAACTAGGAGGTATATGAATAAAGGTGCATTTGACTGAAGAAAGAAGTGAGAATTTAACTTGTAATCTTGGCTAGACTTTCCAAGGTCCAAACTCATTTGCTACAGGAGTACTTTACTACTTGACATATAAAGTCCTACTTCATTTAAATCTATGTACAATAAGCATGAGTTTAAAGCCCAAGATCTCAGGTAACTTTATCACCATGTTAAGGTGCTGCCTATAGATTATAGCAACCTCAATACCTAAAGTATGAATGACAATATGAGTCAAAGCATCTAGGCTGATGCTCTGCTTCTCCTTTGATTTTGGACAAGTTACTCACCCTCTCAGGATATCAGTTTTCCTCTGTAAAATGGGAGGGTGTTGTCTAATACCTCCACAGTACTTTCTAACTTAAAACCCTATAAGCTGGGTTACACATGTGATTGCATTTAGTGAACATATACTGATTTTTGGTGCATTTAATTGTATGCAAACTTTATGTGAAAATTTTAAAACCCTACATACAAATAATAAATTTTAGTTAATGATATGCATGCTAAAATGTTTAGGGCTTAAGTGTAATGATTTCTGCAACTTATGTTAAAAGGCACCAAAAATAAGACAGATTAATGGGTGGATAGATGGATAGATAGGTGACAAATTTCCTCAAATGGGTAAACCAGGTGAGATGACAATTCTACTCCTAGATATACACACCCAGGAGAATTAAAAACATATGCCCACACAAAAACTTGAACACAATGCTTATAGCAGTATTATTCATAATAGCTAAAAGAGAGAAATAATCTAAATGTCCATCAGCAGCAGAATTGATAAATAAGATGTGATATAGTCATACAATGGAATATTATTCAGCCATAAAAAGCAAGTACTTTTACAAGCAACAACATGAATGAAACTTAACTTCATTATGCTAAATGAATGAAGACAGTCACCAAAGATTACATATTATATTATTTCATTTATATGAAATGCTCAGAATAAGAAAAACTATAGAGATAGAAAGTGGGTTAGTGGCTGCCTAGGCCTAGGGGAGTGGGGATTTGGGGAGTGATGGCTAGTGAGTACAGGTTTCATTTTTGGAGTAGTGAAAATGTAAAATTGATTGCAATATAAATGCACAACTTTATGAATATATTAAAAGACATTGAATTGTACACTTTAAATGGATGAATTGTATGGTATGTGAATTATATCTCAAGAAAGCTATGTTAAAGATAAAAAAATAAAGGCAAAAAATGTATTCGGTCTCTCTGCAGTTTCTTCTCTACCCTATACCTCTTTAGTGCTAAGATCAAGAAGCGGTCTCACTCTCTCTCTCTCGTTTCTTGCTTCAGTGGCACTCGCAATTTTCTTAAATATTCCTAGAAAACTGCATCTCAGATTTTCTTTTGAAATTATATTTTACTTTTGTTCTTGGACTAAAATAATTTGTGATGCTTTCCTGATTTCATTCATTCACTTTATCAAATTTATACTGAGTGGTTACATTGTGTCAGAAACTCTGTTAAACGCCTAAAGTACAAAGTCAAATAAGACCAGGTGCCTGCCATCAAAAAGTTTACAATCTAGTAAGGGAGACAGATGTATAAACACACAGTAATATATCAATTAAGATGTACTATAATTCAAGCATGTAAAAGTGCTAAGAACAGATTCTGCCACTAGATGTAGAGTTAGAAAATTTGGTTAAATGAAATAGGCTTAGTAGTTTTATAATCTTAAGTCAGTCATTTAACTACTCAAAGTTCCAGTTTTTCAACTGTGTAATGGAGAAAATGTCACCCAACTCACTGGGTTATTGTGATAATTAAATGTAAACATGTCTACAAAAGTATTGTATAAACTACATAGTATCACTGTGTATTATAGTACACTGTGATATATCGATATTTTAGAAATAATCATTGATTTGTTAACTTTCTTTGTAAATTAGTGAGAATAGAGTTAGTAATGTGCTTTAAAATCTGAGAAAAATAATTAATACAATATTTTTCCTGTAACTGAGAATAACAGATGGAATTTTAATAGTTTTTGGGGGAAAAAAAGGAAACAGCTTGAAATGTAATGAAGAAGATGAAGAATAACATGGAAGAAGGGCTATAATGGTTGGAAGAGACAAAGGCCAACCAGATAGTAAGCTTGACAAGAACACAGGCATGGTAGAAAACATGGTGCAGAAGGCAGGGCTTTGAAGATGAAGAGAAATCTTATTTAGTAAGTACAACCTTGCCATATATCCTTATTAATCACATAAATTTTCTTTTAAAAAGGTGAAAGTGAGGGTAATTCAGTGAGCACAATATCTTCTCCCAGAATAATTTAAATACAAAGTTCTACTATGGTTCCAGTTTCTCACAAATTAGGACCTAAGCATCTACATACATAGGGATAAAAACAGTCTGTTTTCTGATTGATTTAATGTTTGCTTGTCTGTAGAATGGTGGCTTCTGGTAAAAACTGTGAATTATCTCCATATTTCCTATGCCTCTCCAATCCTTTAAAAAACAATGGAAGAAATTATAAGCTAAAGAACAAGTAATCACAGATCCATATAAAGTCAAGAAAAAAATAATGGTAAAAGTAAAATCACCCTACAATACAAATTGTCTGGACAAACAATTTAAAATATAATCTGAAATGACATACTCAGTGTAATATACCAGAGTGAATAGTACTACTTGACATTTAATATTTCAGTGTTCTGACTCTTCTGTGTAAACATTTCTATCTTAATGACATAAAAATGTAAAGTATTTTCAAAAAGTCTTTAACATTTAATACCTTATCGCCAGCTCTTACATACATGGGCATAATAAGAGACAGGAGGAAAATAGAGAACACAGAAAACATTCATCACATATATGGGCTAAATGCTTGTATTTATCCCTATATACTTTTATACGATTACTAACAAGTACTTCTTCTTTTTTTTTTTATTATACTTTAAGTTTTAGGGTACATGTGCACATTGTGCAGTTTAGTTACATATGTATACATGTGCCATGCTGGTGTGCTGCACCCCCTAACTCATCATCTAGCATTAGGTATATCTCCCAATGCTATCCCTCCCCCCTCCCCCGACCCCACCACAGTCCCCAGAGTGTGATATTCCCCTTCCTGTGTCCATGTGATCTCATTGTTCAATTCCCACCCATGAGTGAGAATATACTAACAAGTACTTCTAATTGGAGCACAGAAACTGACAGATGAGAGTTGGGGTGAGAGGTGGGGGGAACAAACTAAACTTAGGAAAAGGGAGACATTTTATTTAGTAACCTAGAAAAATACTTACATGTTCAGGATCCAGTGACTTCTATTCATTCAGCCTATAGGTATGGATATACCCATGGCATTTCAGTGACCCCTGCTCCCAGACCAGCATTAAACACAACTGGTTATAAAATTTTTCTCAATAAATTGCTATAAATAGCTCCAATATTATATTATTTAATAAAGGCAGGAAAGTACTAGGTTGAGAGTTAACTGGCCCTGGATTGAAAATTCCTTCATTATGTTCAGATGCACCCTTTATCATTTTAGAGACTAAACCACAAGGACACAAACTGAAGAAAGAATTGGAAACTAAAAGAATGATATTCACTAGAGACAATGGAACACAATGCCCTTCAGGGTCAGGGACAACATCTGCACAAAACAAGCTGTAGTGGATGTATGTTGCACCCACCAGATCTCCCTTCAGGATTGAAGAACTTAGTCTCCTGGCTGCTGGGAGTGTTGCCAGCTGACAACCCTCTCTAGGAATTGTCCTTAGCTGAAAAGAGTCATCTTTTCCAAGGTCTTGCTGCCTGCATCCAATGATTGGTCAATGTGAGAGTCTGAAGGTCTGATCCTCTCATCTCCAATCTGAAAGGCCATCCCAGCTCCAGAGCTTCAGGCTCACTGAGTCCTTGTTTAGGAGGCATCACAGACCAATGTCTTCCTCTGCCCAATTCTGCTTTCTTCCCTTTCCCCAAAAGTGTTGATTCTGAAGAACAATTTCCCCCCAAAATTCCCTTCATGCCAATCTCCATCTCAGAATCTGCTTTCTTGGAAACCCAACCAGCAAGCCAAGAAGATGTTGAACTACTGCCATGGAGTTTCATTGTGAAGAAACCATGATATTAGGAACATCACACATCTCTAGGTAATCCAGGACACTAAGTAATAGATCAGGTTCTTGCTTGGTATGGTGATCAACTAAATAAGCCACAGAAAATCTGGAGAGGAGACAGAGGTGCCAAAGGAACATTAGAGGAAAGGTTAAAGGAATTTGAAATATTTATTTTAGAGACAAATGATAGGGTGAAAATCAACAGTACAAAAACAGACAGTAAAATTTAGGTTAGATTTAAGAAATGTTTTCCAATAATTAAAAATGCTAGAATAGGCTGGGTGCAGTGGCTCACGCCTGTAATCCCAGCATTTTGGGAGGCTGAGGAGGGCAGATCATGAGGTCAAGAGATCGAGACCATTCTGGTCAACTTGGTTAAACCCCGTCTCTGCTAAAAGTGCAAAACTTAGCCGGGCGTGGTGGCACGCACCAGTAGTCCCAGCTACTTGGGAGGCTGAGGCAGGAGAATCACGTGAACCTGGGAGACAGAGGTTGCAGTGAGCCGAGATTGTGCCACTGCACTCCAGCCTGGTGACAGACTGAAACTCTGTCTCAAAAAAAAAAAAAAATGCTAGAATAGTAGACCAACTTAGTAATGAAGGGCATTTATTCATTTACTATTATGCCAATAACAATGATTTGAGTTTACTCTATGTTGGGAACTAGGCACGCACGTAATCTTATTTAAATTCCTCACAACAATTCTGTGAGGAAGTCCAATTATTATGCCCATTTTATAGACAAAGAAATTAAGGCTTACAAAGTTAAAGTAACTTGTCTGAGCTACTGCCTCTTCATGTATACTGTTAGAATCCGAGAAGATGAAAAGGCCTGCTTACTTTTCCTAAATCCAGAGAGAAACTGACTAGTTGATATGGACAAATTATAGAGTCTTTTTGGGGCCTCTGTTGCTATCCGTGTCAAATATAGTTTTAAATGGCCAGCAAGGTAAGTAATCAATATATGAAATCTTAAGGAGGAAGTATGCCTCCATGTACGTTCATAGGCTGGGTGCAGCAGCATGTGCCTATAGACTTAGCTACTGAAGAGGCTGAAGCAGGAGGATTGCTTGAGCCTAGGAGTTTGATGCCAGCCTAGGCAACATAGTGAGACCTGCTCTCTAATTAAAAAAACAAAACAAAACAATACACACAGTTTTCTTTCTTCAGCTTAACAATAGTCACTGTAATTCTTCTGACAAGGCATGGTCTAAAATCAGGACCTTATTCCACATGAACATACCACAAGGGCAATAGGAAAACAGGATAAATAGGAGGCATGATGGTATAGTAGACTTTGATGGGAGACAGATCTGGATTTAAATCCTGATCTTGCTACTTAACTAGCATTTGTGGTCTTGGATTAATTATCTGAACCTCACTTTCCTTATTGAGTCAATCTGGATAAAAACACTACTCCTGCTTTCCAGGGTTGCTAGGATAATTACATGAGATATGGTATAAAAGTATAAAAAGCAGGGTCTGGCATATGGTAGATATTCAACAAACTATAATTTCCTTTCACTTCCTGTATCCCCCAAAACCATTTAGTATATATTGAAAATCTCTTTCACCATTGTAGTTAAGCTTATTTGATAAAAATCAGTCTATTTTGTGAATAAAAAGTTACCCTAAAAGTGCTCAGAACACTCATTATCAAGTTCCAAGAGATGCAAAACATACCCAAGATACCAAAGTGAAAGCATAAGACTGATGAGTGACTTGGGAAGTCCAAGTATCTCCATACAACTGTAATCAATAATAGTTACTGTGCTAGGCACTATTCTAAGCTCTTTACCTGCAGTAAGTTGTTAATTAGTCACAATAATCATATAAGGTAGGTAGATAAGGAAACCAAGACCCAAAGAAGTTAAGCAAAATGTGAAATAACAAAGAACCACTCAAGTCACTCTCACACAGAGCTGGTGCCACATTTTGAAAAACAACTTGTCATGATTACATCAAGAGCTTCAAAAATAGTTAGAATATTTACTAATATAAAAATATTCCTAAAATATTAGATGATCCATAGTAGATATAAGATGGTATATGGAGGCTGGGCGCAGTGGCTCACGCCTGTTATCCCAGCACTTTGTGAGGCTGAGGCGGGTGGATCACCTGAGGTCAGGAGTTCAAGACCAGCCTGACCAACATGGAGAAACCCCATCTTTACTAAAAATACAAAATTAGCCGGGCATGGTGGTGCATGCCTGTAATCCCAGCTACTTGGGAGGCTGATGCAGGAGAATCACTTGAATCCGGGAGGTGGAGGTTGTGGTGAGCCGAGATCGTGCCGTTGCACTCCAGCCCAGGCAACAAGAGCGTAGCTCCATCTCAAAAAAAAAAAAAAAAAAAAAAAAAAGATGGTATATGGAAAGTAATTGTGATTTGCTTAATATTCCATATATTTATATAAAGGGGCTAAAGGGAAATATATCAGCATACTAACAAGGGTTATTTCTGGGAGACAGAATTGTGGGTAATATGCTTAAAAAACAATGCTATTTATTCCTCCAAGCCATTTCATTTTCCTCCTGTCACAGAAAGACACATTCCTGCCTTAAACACCCTCTCCCCTATAGCTTTGTCACTCCCCTGGCCATGTAACTGAATTCAGGTGATAGAATGTGGGTGGGAATGGTATAGGGCAACTCCAGGCCCGAATCTATGTGTGGTCTTCCACGTTTTCCTTTCCTCCTGTCAGTCAGTTATGCCATCAAGGTAACTTTGAGGCAACAAAATGGTGGAGCCACAAACAGAAATATCCTGGGTTCCTGACGCTTGAAAGACAGTCACACAGGAAAGGCCTTATCTGCATTTCTCTGAGAGAGAAATAAACTACTAATGTATTATGCTACTGACATTTCAGGGTTTGTTACCTCAGTAACTGATAAGGTAATTTCTGTAATTTTCCTTATTCTTTTCCTGTATTTTCCAAAATGCCAATAAGGAACATGTAATAGTTCCACAACTGGTATTCAAAAAAGTTTTTTTTTTTTTTGGCCGGATACAGTGGCTCATGCCTCTAATCCCAGCACTTTGGGAGGTCGAAGCGGGTGAATCCAGAGGTCAGGAGTTCAAGACTAGTCTGGCCAACATGGTGAAACCCTGTCTCTACTAAAGATAGAAAAAATTAGCTGGGCGTGGTGGTGGGCGCCTGTAATCCCAGCTACTCGGGAGGCTGAGGCAGAAGAATCGCTTGAACTCAGGAGGTGGAGGTTGCAGTGAGCCGAGATCGCGCCACTGCACCCAGCCTGGGCGACAGAGTGAGGCTCCGTCTCAAAATTTAAAAAAAAAAAAAATGAAAAAAAAAGTTTGGTTTTTTTTAATGCATGACTTTTAACTCAGTAATTTCAGTTTGGGAAATTTAGCCTAAGCCAATAAACTGAAATGCAGGTAAAAACTTACACATCAAAGTGTTTATTATAAGGTTACTTATAAAACTTTAAAAAAATAAACAACTTAAATGCCATTCACACACATAAAAGTTTAGTAAACTATACTCGTGATGGAATATTAGGCAACCATTAAAATTATTTTAATGAAAACTCTGATGACACAAAAACCAAGATTAAAAGTTGTTCAAATATGGAAAAAACTGTTAACAGAGATGTAAGCTTTCTCTGCATGATTACTTAATACTCATCTATACTTTATAGTATTTTCCAAGTTTTCTGAAAGGAGACCATAATGCTATTATAAGAAGAAAAAAAGTGTTCATAAAAATAATAGCTAACTGTGCTGTGATAAAGGCACCAGCAGTATCATTGATGCAATGGTGCTACTGGGAAGGGCACTTACAGACCATCTGCTTACCTTCCCCAAGCACAGAGGAAAGAGACTGACAGTTGTGAGGGAGGGGCTAGTACTTCTGGTGCCCAGGGTGGAGATAAGGCACTAAGACAGAGCTGCTTTGTTAGATAAAGCTCTCTCTGGTCAGACACCCTTGCTGCCCTCAGTATAGCATCAGACTCAAGAAGGTTTATGAGTCACCAGTAAAGAGAAATTTCAACTGAAGGGAATAAAGAAGCCAGTGCTAGAAGTTTGACAAATCAGCAAAAGGGCACATAGGGAACTTAAAGGGCTGCCAGCAATGTTCCATTTCTTGATGGTTACATGGTTTCATTTGTTGAACTGTGCATATGTTTTATGTATTTTTCAGTTTGTATGCTATATTAAATAACAAAATATGTATTTTTAAATTCAGCAGCAGCATCTTCCTAAATGAGACAGAAGAAGGCTTTAGAGGCAGAACAAGAAGGAACAATGCTCAGTGCAGGCCTGAGAACGGGCCCAGAGGAACAGTAATCTCTCAGTGTCAACGTATTGCTTTGTAGCTTACAAAGTGTTTCTACATCACATACTGCATTTAAGGCTCAGCATTACTCAGAATAGAGATCTTGAACTCATGTCGGCTGATCATATCCAGTTGTTTTCCACTATACCAAATTCAACACAAAATACATTTGTGGATTGAAAAAAAATTTTTAAGGTATTAAGGCATGAGTGCTCACAGACTTCCTCTAAGATCTTGCTTAACTAAAAGGAATTGAGGTTTTGCCTACCCAGCTTCACTGGCCACCCTCTATCTGAGGAAATTTCTATCTCCACCAGAAAATGTTGAGACTTTCTGATGAAGAACATAAAAAATCAGAATAGAAAAACAGAATTGAGCCAGAAGAAAAGCAAGAAGAGAGGTTAGTCAAGAAAGAGGAAAGGGAAGAAGGAGAAACTATCAGACATCAATGAGAAACAAGTCTGTTGGGCATAGAAGTAGTTTAGAGGGTAAAAGACCTCAACAAATGTGGCTGTAGTCTTGGGATTGTATTTCTTTGAGCAAGACATGATGTGATTCCAAATTTTCTAGGGGCAGCACATTAATTGGAGTCAACTTCCAGATTGTTTGTTAGGAGCTGCAGGAGATAAGTACAAAGAATAATACTGGACTCCTGCCTGTAAGGGGTTCACAGGCTTCTGAGGGGGAATAGATACATAAATGATTAAGGCTCCTTGCATGTGTAATGGAAGTGCAGAGATTAGAGTTACTAATTCTGCTTGGGAAAGCTGTGGGAAAGCCTCACAAAGAAAGGAACACTGGAGCTGGGTGTAGGAAAATGAATAGGAGCTCACAGACCAAAGAGGGCAGGTATGGAGTGTGTTCTAGGTAACTGAAATAGCACAGAGACATTAAGCATTCACATAATACCACCACATTTGGTGCAGCTGAAACATAAGGAGCTGAGGTAGAGGGATAGGAAATGGGCAGGAGAGTAATCAGAGATGAGGTAGGGGTCCAGCTATAACCCGGTTGAAACAAGCCAAGAAGGCTAGACTTCATTGTTTAGGCATTGAGTAGGGGGACATACTGATGTTTGTATATTTCAGTATTAACACAGTAGTACTGCAAAAAAGGATCACTGGAAAGAAATAGCAATGAGATAACGGTGGGGATGGGGGCAAGAAAATTAGGAGGCTGTTGCAAATAGAACAGGCAGCAAATGAAGGAGTTTTAGAATCGATGGATATGGGTTTAAAACCTGGCTTTTGTCACAAGTTATTTGACCTTGAGAAACTAAACAATCTCCTCATACCTGTTTCCTCTTCCATAAAATAAAAATAATATTATCCTTGCAGAATTGTTACGATAATTAAATATGATAATGTGTCTTGTAGTATCTGGCTACATATTAAGTGATAAATATTAGTAACATATGCATTGGTAGTAGAGTGGCATTGAGGATAAGGAGACAGATTCAAGAGGTATTTATGAGATAATTACCATCAACAGGATTTGGGGACTAATTGGATGTTTATTTTGGGAAAAATGCAGAGAGTGGAAAAAATCCTATATTTAGCAACTACTTTGTTCTCTGCAACAAAGACATTTAATACCAACACACTGAATTGCTAACATCTATCGCTGCTAGACACCATGCCTAGTAGAACAGAATCTTCCAGCAATGTCATTTGGTGTGAATGTAGGTCTCTCTTCTTTCTTATATTTCTTCTACTTCATTGGCTAAAGATTCTCCATTCAGGTTCCTCAAGAAAGTAAAAATTGAACTGTCATATGATCCAGCAATCCCACTGCTGGGCATATACCCAAAAGAAAGGAAATCAGTATATCAAAGAGCTATCTGCACTCCCATGCCTGTTGCAGCACTGTTCACAATAGCTAAGATTTGGAAGCAATCTAATTGTCCATCAGCAGAAGAATGGATAAAGAAAATGTGGTACATATACACAATGGAGTACTATTCAGACATAAAAAGAATGAGAGGGTCATTTGCAAAAACCGGAAGTCATTATGCTAAATGAAATAAGCCAGACACAGAAAGACAAACATCACATGTCCTCACTTATTTGTGGGATCCAAAAGTTAAAACAATTGAACTCTCAGAGATAGAGAAGAAGGATGATTACCAGAGGCTAGGAAGAATAGTAGCCGGGGCAGTGAGGAGGTGGGGATGGTTAATGGGTACAAAAAAAAAATAGTTAGAAAGAATTAATAAGACCTACTATTTGATAGCACAACAGGAGGACTATAGTCAATAATAATTTAATTGTACACTTAAAATTAAGTAAAATTAGATTGTTTGAATCACAACGGATAAATGCTTGAGGGAATGGATACCCTATTTTCCATTATGTGATTATTACGCATTGCATGCCTATACCTAAGTATCTCATGTACCCCATAAATATATATACCTGCTATGTAGGCACAAAAATAAAAAATAAAATAAATAAAATACATAACTTTAAAAAATTCTCCATTCAAATATTTCAAATTTTCAAAATAAATATATTCAAAAATTGTATCAGGTAATTTAGATCCAAGGTAGAGTTGTTATCTAATTAGCAACAACATCAATTGCAAATGTTAAAAGAACTCCATATACTTGTAGTGAAACCTCCAGTAGCCAATAAAGAAGTCCCGCAACCAAACTGGAGATGATTAAAGTCACTGTTCCTGCAACTTGGGTATTGTACATATTGAAAGTCAATCAACACTTTATTTATCTGCTTTAATAGAACTGTTGAGATCGATTACAGGACACAAATCACTTATAAACTATTTTCTTATAGTGAAGTAAGTTGTGTGTAAATCTCTATTATCTCTTACGGCATATTCAGTTACTGCACAATGGAGGTGAAGCAGGGCCCAATAATAGTTGAAAAAAGAATTGATCTTAGAGAAGATTCACATATTCCTAACTTTTGGGCTCCTTCCGAAAGCCCAGATAACACCACTCAAAAGACACTTCATTTTTGAGGAAAAAATGGCCTAAAAGCTACCAAAATGAGCAGCCCAAATGCCACTGAAAATCCCCAAGGATGCAGACCACTGACTGCCTGCCCATCATGGCTTGGAGATGCCTGAATTAGAGCAATAAAATGAAATTAAAGCTCTCACTGAGATCATCTGCTGTAGAGCTTCAAAAAATTTAAAAGCAGATTTCTTGAAAGGGAAACATTTAAGAACTTAAAAGGAAGGGGAAGATTCCTTAATAAAAGCAAAATATCCTACTAAATGACTGGTGGAGCTTAAATCCACAAATAATTGTGGTAACAAAGTAAAGCACTCATACGCTTTTTCTCTTTCCCATATAATCACTGAGGAAAATGAAATTTTAGAAGGTGAAAATGGAGGATTTAGTACTATTCCTTCAACAAAAATAAGAGGTTGATATGGTTTGGCTGTGCCCCCACCCAAATCTCATCTTGAATTGTAACTCCCACAATTCCCACATATCGTGGGAGGGACCCAGTGGGAGGTGAATGAATTATGGGGACAGGTCTTTCCTGTGCTGTTCTTGTGATAGTGAATGGGTCTCATGAGATCTGATGGTTCTATAAGGGGGAGTTTCCCTGCACAAGCTCTCATTTTTTTTGCCTGCCACCATCCACGTAAAAATGTGACTTGCTCCTCCTTGCTTTCCACCATGATTGTGAGGCTTCCCCAGCCAGGTGGAACTGTACGTTCAATGAAACCTCTTTCTTTTGTAAATTAGTCAGCCTCGGGTATGTCTTTATTAGCAGTGTGAAAATGGACTAATACAGAGGTAAAATAAAAAACACTATGAATTTCTCAAATCCTCACAATTTAGTATCCGTTGGGGCATTTTCTTGCTGGAAGGAACTATAAAATAAAAATTAAGATTGCTCCAATATGCTGCATAAAGGCCAAATAGCAAACACTTCTTAATCCAGGGCAACTGTACTTGGTAACTTGATGTAACATCAGCTGCATGTCTGATCTAGTATGTTCTTACATATAGAATAAATGTTTAATAAGAAAGGTTACCCAGATCCCAATAAATATGTACAATTCTTATATGTCAATTTAAAAAATAAAATTATAAAAGAAAAGTTACCCAGGTCCTATGAAAAACCACCCTAGTATAAGCTGATAAATCTGAACCATGGCAGCATTAAGATACCTGTCCTCTAATACTAAAGGGCAAAGGGAAAATAGAAGATGGATATCCATCTGTTACCAAACTGAAGCCAATTTGGTGAGCTTCACCCCAACACCCGACTCCTATGACAAAGATCAATTTAAGAAAAATCCATTATAAAACTTTCCGAAGATAAAGCAATATACAAAAGTATACACACAGGATAATCTCAACCATTTAGAAAGTCATATGCACTGAAAAAAAAAACCACTGGAAGGAAATATGCCAAATCATTGACTGCTTTTGTCTTTGATGATATAATTATTTTTCTTCTATATACTTATATAACCTCGATAAACTTTGATGTAATTTTATATTGTTCTACAGTTTTCTAAATTTTCCTTTTTTTTTTTTTTGAGATGGAGTCTCACACTGTTGCCCAAACTGGAGTGCAGTGGTGTGATCTCTGCTCACTGCAAGCTCCACATCCCAGGTTCATGCCATTCTCCTGCCTCAGCGTCCCGAGTAGCTAAGACTACAGGCACCCACCACCATGCCCGGCTAATTTTTTGTATTTTTAATAGAGACGGGGTTTCACTGTGTTAGCCAGGATGGTCTTGATCTCCTGACCTCCTGATCTGCCTGCCTCTGCCTCCCAAAGTGCTGGGATTATAGGTGTGAGCCACCGCGCCCAGCCCAATTTTCCATTTTTTTACAATAAGCAAGCAAGAAAATAAATGTTAAAAGAAAAATGAGAGGGAGGGAAAAATTTACTTATAAATAAATGCTTCTAGAATCTTTAGAACACCATCATCTATTCTGAAAGATAGAATCATCAAAACTCTGTACTCACGCTTTAACAACATAACCAAAAGCCTAACACTTCACATGCCCCAGTCTCTGGTCTTTTCTGTGCTTGCTTTTCCTCTGTGAAAACTTGATAAAATGCTCTCAATAATCTTGTTCCATGAAAAGTGTGAATGAGAAGAAAAATAAAGAGAGCAATTTTCAAGTGGGAAAAGAAAGAGCATGCGGAAAGGAATGACTGAAACTTTCAGAGAAATGGGTAGAAATGCATATAAAACTCCAAATGAGATACAATAGAAGCTGGGCTTACCAATGGGGAGGAGAGTATGGAAAGAGTGCAATGGACAGGAGAGGGTAGTGTACAAAGAAAGGATAGAAGGAAACACAAACTTTGTATGACTTTTTTTTCCACATAGGATTCACAACATTCCTCAGAAAATTCAATTTAGTTGCCCTGTTCTAGCTTGCTAACCAGAACCAATTTAATTTTAAATCTACACTCAGAGCCAACGGGGATGAGATATTTTGCAATTCTTTTTAGCTCCCTGTTGGAAGACAGAATCAGATTTAACCATTTCTGCTCTGGCTGTGATAACCATCCAGGTTTGTCAGAGGACCAAATGGTGTTCTTTGAAGATTAAAGAATATAAAACTGTACCAAAATTACTTGCTATGTTTAACAACTTAATGGGAATGCATTTTTGAGGATGTGACAAATTGCTCTTGATTTATCTGCACAGGGCATGAAATACTGGTACAAGAGAGCAATTTGTTACACAGACAATGTCTACCCCTTGCTGTAAATTTGCCCACTGTCACATACTATTTGACATCCAGTTAGGTGATTTTAAAAAACTAGTTTATTACTGCATCTAATGAAGAGCAGAAAACTGATATATGACTCTCTTAATTCTTCTCAGCTACCAGGAACACATTTCTCACATATCAGTTTATGAAACTGTTTCTTGGTTTTATGTTCTGTTGTGACAGATAGGTAAACAAGCTGATAAAATCAAGTGCTTTCAAAAGGGAAAAGTTACCATATTCATGTAGGCCTCTGGCTTGTCACAAAACTTCAAACAGTTTCTGGTTCTGCTTACCATCTGCACAGATTTATTCCAAAGAACATAACAAACTTTGTTTCTTGATTTCTTTCAACATAAATAGAAATATTAAGTTTGGGTGTTTATATTCTGGAAGATAGTCAGATAATCTATTCTGATTAACCTTAACACATAGGTCTGGCCCCTGCCTGTATACATAGCTCAGTCCCAGTCCCTTCCTCTGAATTTCCTTTTAATCAGCCTCAGCCTTTTCCACATCCATATTGCTATGAATATCTCTAGAGCATCTATCTTCAGAACCATTTGTTTACCATGCCTCCTACTGGGAGGAAATGAGGCTGCTATTGGTCTGACTGAAGTTCCCCTTAGGCTATATGTGGTCTGTCTTTATTAAAAGCAAAATAAAGGCCTCACATGGGGACTTGGCAACTATTACAAGGGTTGTGCTGGGTTTTTCGATTCTTGCTTTTTTGTTGGGGGTGTATGAAAGGAATCAACAGATCCATCCAAGACTATTTTATCATTGTCAACTTACATGCAGACCACCCTGACACCCCCACTCACTATTAGTCTGTTGAAAATGGGAAGAATTTGAGAGGGAAACACTAACATTTTTAATAGAAACAATTCTTATAGCCAAATAAGAACTAAGCTACAAAGGTTCTAATTATACATTAGGTATTCAATAAACATAATGGTGATTCCAGAATTGTATTTTGTATGCCATCATCTAATTTATAAGTTGGCATCATCAGATTCAAACACTGAGTGGAAAAAAACTCAGCAATATAAATTATATAAGCAATCATCACGTGAGTGGGTGGAAATGATTCTGAAACAGATAATTCTGAAATCAATCCTGAAATAGGACTATTTGAAAGGATTAACTTCTGCCTTAAAATCCTAGCTCTACAACTTAACTTCTCTGAGCATCCAATTCTTCACCTTTAAAAGGAAAATAGTATTTTCTCTCTCAGAGAGCTGTTCTGACATTTAAGTCACCCAGTTTGGTGCCTGAATGAGGACTCAATAAATGGTACCTACCCTTATTATTATTATTTTTCTCATGGATTGTTTTCACTTACCACTGTAAGCTGAACGATGAATGAATAAATAGGTGAGTGAAAGTGAATGAATGAAGGAACAAATAAACGTTTAGTAACACTTGTACAGGAGAAACTGGTAGGCATCCAGCAAGGAAGTTTCATTTCTTTTCTGTTAGTCTTTCTGATGGCAATGCCTGTAGGGAATTTTAATGAAGAGCCAGCATACATCATTACAGTTTTCTACAGATACAACACAGTATAATTGTTCAGGTACAGGTTATACAGAAATTAAAGTGATACCAGTTCAGGGCCATACTTGCAAGATAACTCAGGCCGTCAACTCTTGCCTCTTGCGTCATCACATTTCTGTACACATATGTTATACACATAAAATGTGTTGACCCAGTAGTGAGGCAAGTAAGGCAACTGCTCTCAAGTAATGAAAATGGAGAAGATTAAGATAAAAGCATCAACAATAACAAATCTATTTACTGAATATTTAAACTGAGTTTTCTTACAGTTCCTTAAATACATTTTCATTTTATTCATTTACATCCCATTACACAAACATTTGTTCATTCAACCATTGTGGAAGTCAGTGTGGCGATTCCTCAGGGATCTAGAACTAGAAATACCATTTGACCCAGCCATCCCATTACTGGGTATATATCCAAAGGATTATAAATCATGCTGCTATAAAGACACATGCACACGTATGTTTATTGCGGCACTATTCACAATAGCAAAGACTTGGAACCAACCCAAATGTCCAACAATGATAGACTGGATTAAGAAAATGTGGCACATATACACCACGGAATACTATGCAGCCATAAAAAATGATGAGTTCATGTCCTTTGTAGGGACATGGATGAAATTGGAAATCATCATTCTCAGTAAACTATCGCAAGGACAAAAAACCAAACACCGCATGTTCTCACTCATAGATGGGAATTGAACAATGAGAACACATGGACACAGGATGGGGAACATCACACTCTGGGGACTCTTGTGGGGTGGGGGGAGGGGGGAGGGATAGCATTAGGAGATATACCTAATGCTAAATGACGAGTTAATGGGTGCAGCACACCAGCATGGCACATGTATACATATGTAACTAACCTGCACATTGTGCACATGTACCCTAAAACTTAAAGTATAATAATAATAAAAATAAAAAACAAAAGGACAATTAATAAAAAAAAGACTCTGTAGTACATATTGTGGAGCAATACAAAGAATGTAACTCAATTTTGGCATAGTTCAACCAATATTTATTGAGTACCTCTCATGGGCCAAGCATTGTGCTAGGTGCAAGGGTTGTAAAGAAAAATAAGATACAGCCTGGGGCCTTAAGAAAAAGGCACAAATAATTAAAATATAAAACATAGAGCCTGCAATTACAGACTGCTAAGAGATTTAATAGTAATATAAAAGATAAAGTGATCAATGCTGACTAGAAATCAAGAAAAACTTCAAACTAAATACCTGACCAGATATTTAGTAGCAGTGTGTAAAGTGAACAAGTAGAGCACATTCTACACAAAGAAACGAGTATACACATAAGCAGATAATATGCAGATGTGTAATTGGTTCCATAGCACTGGACTAGAAAGCATGAAGGGGAGAATAGAAGGAGATGAAGTTAGCAAAGTGGACATAGATAAATTCATGAAATGCCTCATATGCCATGCTACGGAGCTTGGATTATTTTTTCCTTCTAAATGCTAGTAAGCCATTGAAGGCCTCCAAAAATGTCAGATTTGGGTTGGAAATTATACAGAAGGCAAACTAAACCGCGACAAGATTAGAGGTAGGGAGAAAAGATAGGAAGCTACTAAAATAACCCAAGGAAGTGAGGATGAGGGAACTAAGCTAATCTAACAGTACAGGAATAGAGAGAATGAATACATTTTAAATATATTCAAGAGATAAAATTAACAATCATTTTAGATTAATCAATATTAATGGAAAAATAAAAGTGAAAAGTATGTACAAGTGTGTTCTTTCTGCTCATATCAGAACAGAAATCTGAAGCATTTAGAAAAAATATTAGATACCAAGTGGCAAAGTTTTAACAAATTCCAGAAAAAATAAAAATAAAAGTACAGATAGTTGGATATGGTGTCTGGAAAAGAAGGAACGAAGAGGTTTTTATGGAGGATGCTTTGATACTACAGTATTTACTTTTAGGAAAAAAATATCACTGAAATGGAAAGTCACTTCTTGTTTCACTTGACATTAGCAGTAAATTGGAAGAAAGTACTCCAGTGTGGCAAGACAATATGTAACGGTGGCAGACATGGAGGTGCACTGCTCAGATCTCCTGTCAAGAGAACCTGCTGCTAGAAGCATAGCTGTCTGATAGTCTCCAGCTGCTGTATGTTTAGATCCATTGCAGTGTTCACTCTGAGGTCATGCTCCCCACTTCCACACCTTCTGACCCCTATGCTGCTCCCAGGCAATGACTAAGCACAGAAGGCACAGTCAAGCTAAGCCATCCTTTCCCTGTAATGTGGGATTTCTATAATGGGGAACTTTTGCTTAAAGACTTCTGTTCCCAGCCTGGCCAAGACTTTCTCAGAACTGCATTACGGACTGGGGCTCTTCCTGCCCAATTTTCTTTCTTTCCTCTGCTCCTTTCATAGATATCAGACCTGCATCACTGGCTGAAGGCTCTCCCTGCCTACTCCTGCTCTCTTCCCCTTTACTCAGCATGGATATTTCTCCAAATAAAACTTATGTGTCTAACTGCATCTTGGTGTCTGCTCCTCAAAGGACCTTAACTGACACAATACTTTAAGTAAATGTATTAAGAATGAAAATCACAGGGAAATGTGAATTCCTCCTCAGAGCATCTTGCATGTAAACCACCCTGACCTCAGGGTTTTCTTAAGAGTACACAACCCAGCCCAGTGTTTAACAGCCCTCACTGTCAGATATTTTACTCCTAAAGACTTACCCACCTCCCTTGGGCCATATGTTCCATTCTAACTTCCAGAACATCTTTTACTAACATTTCATATAATTGAATTAAATTAAACTTCCCATAAAAACTGGATTGAACTAAAAAGAGTGAAAACTCTATTCCATAAGAATTTTATTTTCAACTAAGTGAATTCTCAGCTTAAATAATCATAGTCTGCTCTTTGAGCTCCAGGGGCACAAGCAATTCAGGCAGACAACATAGTCTCCTCTGGAGTACAACGTTCATCCACCTTCTCAGGAGAATTTGCCTTTCCTGCTGCAAACAGCTTCGTCCAGCTGCCAGTAGAATATTTGGATGACATTGCCTTAGAGTCAACACACAAGAATTCTAGTCAAGGGAGGCAGTCTGACATCATAGTTAAGTGTGCAGGCTCTGTACTCCTACACACTTGCATCTAAATCCTGGTTCTACTAGGTGCTCAAACTAGGTGACTTCAGGCATGTTTCCCTCTGCCCCTCTCTGATCCTCCATTCTCTCATATGTAAACTGAATATAATACTAGTACCTATCTCATATGCTTGTTGTTAGGACTAAATGGGCCAAGGCAGATGAAGCATTTAGCACAGTTTCTGGCACATACTGAGCACTCAGTAATTGGAAATTATGTATGTCATTGTTGTTAGTGGAAGCATCTGCTCTGAGAATAAATGGAGTTGTTTATCTACACTGAAGAAACCAGTGGCCATATAAAATGATCTGGCATTTTTCTTTTAACTAGAAAGCTGAGAAGCTATGTACGTGGCCACACATTAAGGCTCAGCCTTCACTCACAGCAGCAAAGGGAAAGCTGGCCTCTTTCTGAATTAGGGGTAGACAGCTGGAGAGGGCCAAAAGAGGGATTACCAGAAGATTACGATGGTCAGGGGAAAGCTGAAATAACTATTTTAACAGACAATTTGTGCTCCAATTACCATCTAAATGTTCATGGTAAATAAGAATCCATAAAAACACATCTGTAAACCCCCAATTTTAGTGACTGGAGCTTTGCATGGTTCATTAGCACATACTCCTTTGCCCAACTGTGACATCACTTATCAGCAGACCTTCTCCTTTCATATTCCCCAGCAGCTGAGGCCAGTGCTCCATGAGGACATTTTCTGAAATCAATGCAGTCACAGATTTCTTCCCACAGGTGCAGGAGAAGCTTATTAGGTGAATATCTTTCATGGAGTTCTGTCACCTACACTCTTGTTTCTCTTTTAAAGTAAGGGTTAGTAACTATAAATAAGTAGGTGCCAATTCATGGGGAGAGACTGGTGTGCTGCATGCAAGTGATTAGCTGTAAGGAAAGGGCTAAGTCTCAGATCTGCACTCTAGACCTGTGATGTCCAACAGAATTACAATGTAAGTCACAAATGCAAGTTACATTTAAAATTTTAAATTTTCTACTAACCACAAGAAGAAAAAATTAACAGATAAAATCAGTTTTAGTTAATAGAAATGATTTAATTACCAATATATCTAAAACATTCTTTTAACATGTAATCAGTATAAAATTATTAATGTGATTTTTAATATTTTATACTGTTTTCAAAATCCCATGTGTATTTTATACTTGCAGCACACCTCAATTTGGACTTGCCACATTTCAAGTGCTCAGTATGTCCATGTGGAGAGTGGTTACCAAATTGGATAGTGCCCTTCAGGGGAGCTGGACTGGGAAATGACAAAGTTCTATAAAAGACCAAGACACTGTTATGGATGTTTGTCATTTTGGGGTACCTAGCATCTTTTGAACACTCTTTCTGTCCTGGGGTAGCTTGCATATTATGAGTCTCATTTCATGAAGATACGAGGGAGAACTCAATTTCTCAGATTCCCTTTCAGCTAATGCATTGGAAGGTAACGCATGCTTGACCAGTCAGAAACAACCATATGAGATTTGAATTGTAAACAGAAAAAAATGAAGAACATGGCCCTGTATACGTGGAATTAATTTTCTGGCAAGGCTGATGGTGAAGGTATCCAGCTTTCATGGGCACCAATTGGGGTGATCTGATATCTAGTACTCAGAATCCATAAATACATGGTATAATATACTTCAAGTATGGCCAGCAGCAGAGACAGTAGGGGCCTTGCTGGCACCATTCCAAACAAACACGGAAAAAGAAAACTAAAAAAACTCCACATGTTAACTTAGTGCCCTGGCTTTTTAACTTCTTGTTGTTTCTCTTTATGTCTTATTGTACTGTCTATGTCTTGAAAAGTTGTTGTAGCTGTTATCTTTGATTGGTTCATCGTTTATTCTTTCTACTTTAGTCAAGATAAGTTTATACATCACAACTACAAAGTTATACTATTCTGTGTTTTTCTGTGTGCTTACTATGGTAATAATGAGTTTTATATCTTCAGATGATATCTTGTTGCTCAATAACATCATTTTCTTTCAGATTGAAGAACTCTCTCTAGCCTTTCTTATAGGATAGGTATGGTATTGAAATCCCTCAGGTTTTATTTGTCTGAGAATGTCTTTATTTCTCCTTCAGGCTTAAAGGATATTTTCTCAAGATATACTAATCTAAGATAAGAGTTTTATTCTTTCAGCACTTTAAATATCTCATGCCACTCTCTCCTGACCTGTAAGGTTTGCACTGAAAAGTCTGCTGCCAGACCTATTGGAGCTCCACTGTGTGTTGTTTCTTTTCTCTTGCTGCTTTTAGAATCTTTCTTTATCCTTGGCCACTGGGAGTTTGATTATTAAATGCCTTGGGGTAGTCTTCTTTAGGTTAAATCTGCCTGGTGTTCTATAACTTCTTCTACTTGAATGTTGATATCTTTCTCTAGGTTTGGGAAATTCTCTGATACTATCCCTTTGAATAAACTTTCTATCCCTATCTCTTTCTCTACCTCCTCTTTAAAGCCAATAACTCTTAGATTTGTCCTTTTCAGGCTACTTTCTAAATCTTGTAGGCATGCTTCATTCTTTTTTATTCTTTTTCCCTTTTGTCTCCTCTGACTGTGTATTTTCAAATAGCCTGTCTCTAGGCTCACTAATTCTTTCTTCTGCTTGATCAATTCTGCTATTAAGAGACTCTGATAAATTCTTCAGCATGTCAACTACAGTTTTCAATTCTAGAATTTCTGATTGATTCTATTTAATTATTTCAATCTCTTTGTTAAATTTACCTGATAAAATATTGAATTCCTTCTCTGTGTTATCTTAAGTTTCTTTGAGTTTCGTCAAAACAGCTATTTTGAATTCTCTGTCTGAAACGTCATATATATCTATCTCTCTGGGATTGATCCCTGGTACCTCATTTAGTTCATTTGGTGAAGTAATGTTTTCCTGAATGATGTTGGCACTTGTAGAAGTTCTTTGGCATCTGGGCATTAAAGAGTTATGTATTTATTGTGGTCTTCACAGTCTGGGCTTATTTGTGCCTGTCTTTCTTGGGAAGGTTTTCTAGGTATTCAAAGGGACTTGGGCCCCAAGCCCAATAATACGGTGGGTTTTGTACACTCATAGAGGTACTGCTGTGGTGGTTGTGGGTAAGATCCAGAAGAATGCTCTGGATTACCAGGCAGAAACCCTTGTTCTTTTCCCTTACTTTCCCCAAAACACATGGAGTCTCTCTCTCTCTGTGCCGAACCACCTGGAACTGGGGGGTGTAGTGATGCAATCACCCCTGTGGCCACCACCACTGGGACTGTGCTGGGTCAGACCCAAAGCCAGCACAGCAATGGGCCTTGCCCAAGGCCCTTCCCGTCAGGGTAGTGAGTTCTTGTAGGCTCCAGGTGTGTCCAGAGATGCTGTCTGGGAGCCAGAAGTTGGAGTCAAAAACCTTAGAAACTTATGTGATGTTCTATTCTACGGAAGCTAAGTTGAGGGAAAGGAAGTAAAGTGGAGGGAAAAATAGGAAGGACTTTGCATGGTACTGAACCACAATACAAAGTCCCTCCTATTCTTCCCTCCCCTTTCCACAAGATGTAAGACAAAGTACCCTTTAACTTTGATCTCCTCTCCTTAAACGGAAAGAAACAGTCACTTCCATTGCTACAAGCTGCAATCCTGGGTTTGGGGGAGGGATGACTTCTCTTTACTCTCCCATAGCTGTGCCAGCTGGTGTCTCCCTAGGTCATGTTCCACTCCTAGTTCACTGGCTTGAAGCCCAGCCTAGCACTAGGAGTTGCCTAGGAATTGCAGTCTTTGTGTCCTAGACTGTCTTTCAAGTTTACCTAGGACCCCAGAGCACTTTAGCCCTAAGTGGTGAGGTTTGCACAGAAACTCAAGTTTGGACCACTGGGATGGGTGACCCCCCTCTGGCTAGGGCTGGTCCAGATGCTCCCATTGTGCACAGGCAATGGCTGAGCTCAATACAGCTTTATTCTCCACTGTAACAGGGCAGCACTGAGTTCAATGTAAAGTCGCCCAGCAGCTGTGCTCTCCCTCCCCAAAGTGCTCAAGTTCTCTCTCTGCACTGCATGGCCACTGCTAGGGGATGGAGGTGAGGTGGTGTCAGTGATTCTAAAGTATCTCTTCTGCCCTCCTCAATGCCTCTGTCGTTAAATCCAAGTACTGTGAATATGACGTTAAATCCAAGTACTGTGATTGCACACTTGATTGTTGGTTTTTGTGATGGGGCTTTTCTGTGTACAGATAGTTGTTAAGATTTGGTGTTCAAGCCAGAGGGACAAACAGTGAAGGCTTCTATCCCAACCATCTTGCTCCACCTCCCTAGATCTTATTTAAACCTTTTATTTTAATTGGCTTTTTTTTTTTTGACACTGCTCTGGCAGGGTATAAGTGAGGGCACTGCTTTGTTTCTGCCAGGTGGATGTCAAAGTCCAGGTTGCCCATTCAGCCTTCATTCACACCAAAGGGAGGCTCCTCATTATTGCTGAGCAGGTGGGTAAGTTCCACATCTCCAGAGTCTCAACTAATACTGCAGTGAAGTGGGAGGGTGTTCCCTCAATATCAACCAATGGGGATGAAGTGCAGGCTCTCTACTTGGACACCATCCTGGCAAGGATGTTGCAGGAGCACATTAGAGTTTCATGAGGGTAAGTCCAGGCTCCCTACTCAGCCTTTGTTTGTGTGAGAAATAGGACACAAATTTTTTATGACATTTGGCTAGGGTGGAGTGGTTATTGTGTAAAACCTTTCTGTCTTGCTAGATTGGTCCTTTATTGTTCTCCTTGGCTAGAGAAAACTGGCTTTTGTTGGGGTCTTTTGTGTTTGTATTCATTGAGATTTCCAGGTTTCCAGCTTCTTCAGCGCCAAGTTTGGGATATTAAAGACAAGAAGAAAACCCAGGGAACTCACCATCATGTTGTTCCTTGGGTTCTTGGCTGACTTCTTTTCAACCTCTGAGTCTTCTTACATGTTTTTTATATATAATATTTAGAGTTTTTAGTTACCCTTAATAGGAGGAATAGGGGAAAGTATATTTACTCTGTCTTTTTGGCAGTAGAAGTAGGTGTCATTGCCTTTTAAAATACTGAATATACATTCTTTATTATCTATATCCCCCTGGTAGAAAGTGAACCTCAAAAGGGCATGCTTTTTGTATGGCCATAGTAACTTATTGAATGAATTTATAAAGCCACAAATGCGTGCTATTGGAAAATACATCATTTTTAAGTTTTATTTTTTAAATTGGTGCTGAACCAGTGGGAGGAGGTCTGAAGGTCAATAGGAATGAAGGAAAGGTCTACATAAGAATTACAAGTAGGAGACAAAATTAATATTAAATATAACCAGATGGTAGTGAAACAGAATTTACAGAGCTCAACTGAGGGAAGGTAATGGTACAATACAGCTAGGATTACCCACTCTTGGAAACAGATCTAATTTAGTCTCCTTCATGATAAGCAAGCACTAAATAAAGCATGAGAAAAAGGAGGCATGCTTCATATTAGCTTTTTGGGTAGTAGAAAAAGTTTGGTCCCCTTAAACTGTCACCAACCTGTCTGCCTAAATACCTTTTTATTGTCTTCCCTTCTAATCACTCTCTCTCCAGCATTGAAAACAATGCTCAAATATCAACCTGTCTTCAAGGCACCAATAAATAAGCATGAGACATACTTTTCCCACCAAGCCCACAAGGTAAAAAAATTTTAAAAGGCAGTGATTAGGACACATTAAATTAAAAGTTGTGATACATCTTGTCCCTTACTTATCCTTATTTTTCCCATGCCAGGAAAAGTCTGCTCCCAAACTGTAAATTAAAAGAAAAGGAACATCTTTATTTCTACCTTCATTTCGTTATGTACCCAGTAGTCACTCAGGAGCAGGTTGTTCAGTCTCTATGTAGTTGAGCGGTTTTGAGTGAGATTCTTAATCCTGAGTTCTAGTTCGATTGCACTGGGGTCTGAGAGACAGTTTGTTATAATTTCTGTTCTTTTACATTTGCTGAGGAGAGCTTTACTTCCAAGTATGTGGCCAATTTTGGAATAGGCGTGGTGCTGAAAAAAATGTATATTCTGTTGATTTGGGGTGGAGAGCTCTGTAGATGTCTATTAGGTCTGCTTGGTGCAGAGCTGAGTTCAATTCCTGGGTATCCTTGTTGACTTTCTGTCTCGTTGATCTGTCTAATGTTGACAGTGGGGTGTTACAGTCTCCCATTATTAATGTGTGGGAGTCTAAGCCTCTTTGTAGGTCACTCAGGACTTGCTTTATGAATCTGGGTGCTCCTGTATTGGGTGCATATATATTTAAACCACTGCTCAAGGAAATAAAAGAGGATACAAACAAATGGAAGAACATTCCATGCTCATGGGTAGGAAGAATCAATATCGTGAAAATGGCCATACTGCCCAAGGTAATTTATAGATTCAATGCCATCCCCATCAAGCTACCAATGACTTTCTTCACAGAATTGGAAAAAACTACTTTAAAGTTCATATGGAACCAAAAAAGAGTCCGCATCACCAAGGCAATCCTAAGCCAAAAGAACAAAGCTGGAGGCATCATGCTACCTGACTTCAAACTATACTACAAGGCTACAGTAACCAAAACAGCATGCTACTGGTACCAAAACAGAGATATAGATCAATGGAACAGAATAGAGCCCTCAGAAATAATGCCACATATCTACAGCTATCTGATCTTTGACAAACCTGAGAAAAACAAGCAATCGGGAAAGGATTCCCTATTTAATAAATGGTGCTGGGAAAACTGGCTAGCCATATGTAGAAAGCTGAAACTGGATCCCTTCCTTACGCCTTATACAAAAATCAATTCAAGATGGATTAAAGACTTAAACATTAGACCTAAAACCATAAAAACCCTAGAAGAAAATCTAGGCATTACCATTCAGGACATAGGCATGGGCAAGGACTTCATGTCTAAAACACCAAAAGCAATGGCAACAAAAGCCAAAATTGACAAATGGGATCTAATTAAACTCAAGAGCTTCTGCACAGCAAAAGAAACTACCATCAGAGTGAACAGGCAACCTACAAAATGGGAGAAAATTTTCGCAACCTACTCATCTGACAAAGGGCTAATATCCAGAATCTACAATGAACTCTAACAAATTTACAAGAAAAAAACAAACAACCCCATCAAAAAGTGGGCAAAGGACATGAACAGACACTTCTCAAAAGAAGACATTTATGCAGCCAAAAAACACATGAAAAAATGCTCACGATCACTGGCCATCAGAGAAATGCAAATCAAAACCACAATGAGATACCATCTCACACCAGTTAGAATGGCAATCATTAAAAAGTCAGGAAACAACAGGTGCTGGAGAGGATGTGAAGAAATAGGAACACTTTCACACTGTTGGTGGGACTGTAAACTAGTTCAACCATTGTAGAAGTCAGTGTGGCGATTCCTCAGGGATCTAGAACTAGAAATACCATTTGACCCAGCCATCCCATTACTGGGTATATACCCAAAGGACTATAAATCATGCTGCTATAAAGACACATGCACACGTATGTTTATTGCGGCATTATTCACAATAGCAAAGACTTGGAACCAACCCAAATGTCCAACAATGATAGACTGGATTAAGAAAATGTGGCACATATACACCATGGAATACTATGCAGCCATAAAAATGATGAGTTCATGTCCTTTGTAGGGACATGGATAAAATTGGAAATCATCATTCTCAGTAAACTATCGCAAGAACAAAAAACCAAACACCGCATATTCTCACTCATAGGTGGGAATTGAACAATGAGAACACATGGACTCAGGAAGGGGAACATCACACTCTGGGGACTGTTGTGGGGTGGGGGGAGGGGGGAGGGATAGCACTGGGAGATATGCCTAATGCTAGATGACGAGGTAGTGGGTGCAGCGCACCAGCATAGCACATGTATACATATGTAACTAACCTGCACATTGTGCACATGTACCCTAAAACTTAAAGTATAATAATAAATAAATAAATAAATAAATAAATAAATATTTTTTAGTCTCAAAAATAAAAGGAAAAAAACAAACAAACAAGCTTAAGCTTTTATTTATCCATTTACCACCAAATGCCAGAATTCTACCACAAACCCATACCTTCTTTCCTATTAATACTCATGGTATATGATGTGTGCCCTTGTAAGCACAAATAGCAGGCACAAAGTTCCAGAAGCACACACCACTGTCAATATGCCAGGCAAAAGAACAAAGAAATTGGAAGCTTCAGCATCAGTGGACACTGCAGATCCTATAATCTTCCATTTTTCCACTGTTTATAACCTATAGCCAAGCAAGGCTTTCCTTGACCAGGGTTGTGGTACTACCTCTACTCCTGATAAAATAAAAATTTTAAAACTCTAGACTTCAGATTTCTTGTCTGCAAAATGGAAAATGGAGGTAGAAAAGATAATACTCAAGATCCTTTCTGGCCCTATTGATCCAGGTTTTTACATACTAAAGCTATCTTCATATTGAACAACGAGAAGATAAGCCCAGTTTTGTAAAGAAGCTGAGTGGCTTCTGAAGACCTAAGTTATTTGCCAGAAGAATTCCAACGTTCAAAAGTTGAAAGACTATAGATAAGAGGCTTGCTCTGGAGTGACCCAGAATTGTTTAATGTCCCTAATGGAGAAAAAATAAGACTATATATTCATATTTGCTTCTATTTCGATAAAGAAAGTCTAGAACAGACATCAGCAATCTACTGCCAGTGGGAAAAATCAGCCTAAGTTTGTGTTTGTTTAAAACAAACAGCCCATGAGCTGAGAATTATTTTTACATTTTTTAATGGTTGAAAAAAGTGAATATTTCATGACACAGAAAATTATTTTTAAACATTAAAATTTCAGTGCCATAAATAAAGTTTTATTGGCACATAGCCAATAAAATTTCAGTGCCCATAAATAAAGTTTTATTGGCTATTGGCCTCTAGCCATGATCTCTTGTATATGAGTGCTTTTTTAAAAAAAATTAAGTTCTGGGATACCTGTACAAGATGTGCAAGTTTGTTACATAGGTAAACGTGTGTCATGGTGGTTTGCTGCACCTGTCGACCCATCATCTATGTATTAAGCCCAGCATGCATCAGCTCTTTTCTCTAATGCTTCCCCCCTCCACTATCCACAACAGGCCCCAGTAAGTGTTGTTCCCCTCCCTGTGTCCATGTGTTCTCATTGTTCAGTTCCCACTTATAAGTGAGAACATGCAGTGTTTGGTTTTCTGTTCCTGTGTTAGTCTGCTGAGGATAATGGCTTCCAGCTTAATCTATGTTCCTGTAAAGGACATGATTTCATTACCTTTTATGGCTGCATAGTATTTCATGGTGTATATATACCACAGTTTCTTTATCCAGTCTATCATTGATGAGCATTTGGGTTGATTCCATGTCTTTGCTATTGTGAATAGTGCTGCAATGAACATAAGTGTGCATGTATCTTTATAAAAGAATGATCTATATTCCTTTGGGTATATACCCAGTAATGGGATTGCTGGGTCAAATGATATTTCTGGTTCTAAATCTTTGAGGAGTTACCACACTGTCTTCCACAATGGCTGAACTAATTTACATTCCCACCAACAGTGTACAAGCGTTCCTATTTCTCCACAATGTCACCAGCATCTGTTGTTTCCTAACTTTTTAACAATCGCCATTCTGGCTGGCCTGAGATGGTATCTCACTGTGGTTTTGATTTCTCTGTGATGTTGAGCTGTTTTTCATGTGTTTGTTGGCTGCATGTATGTCTTTTTTTGAGAAGTGTCTGTTCATACACTTTGCCTACTTTTTGATGGGGTTGTTTTTTGCTTGTAAATTTGCATAAGTTCCTTGTAGATTCTGGATATTAGCCCTTTGTCAGATGGATAGATTGCAAAAATTTCCTCCCATTCCATAGGTTATCTGTTCACTCTGATGATAGTTTCATTTGCTGTGAAGAAGCTCCTTAGTTTAATTAGATCCCATTTGTCAATTTTTGTTTTTGTTGCAATTGCTTTTGGAGATTTCTTCATAAAGTCTTTGCCCATGCCTATGTCCTGAATGGTATTGCCTAGATTTTCTTCTAGGGTTTTTATGGTTTTCGGTTTTACATTTAAGTCTTTAATCCATCTTGAGTTAATTTTTGTAAAAGGTGTAAGGAAGAGATCCCATTTCAATTTTCTGCATATAACTAGCCAGTTCTCCTAGCACCATTTATTAAATAGGGCATCTTTTCCCCATTGCATGTTTTTGTCAGGTCTGTCAAAGATCAGATAGCTGTAGATGGGCAGTTTTATTTCTAAGTTCTCTATTCTGTTCCATTTGTCTATGTGCCTGTTTTTGTACCAGTACCATGCTATTTTGGTTACTATGGCCTTGTAGTACAGTTTGAAGTTGGGTAGCATGATGCCTCTGGCTTTGTTCTTTTTACTTAGGGTTGTCTTGGCTATGCAAGCTCTTTTTTGGTTCCATATAAATTTTAAAAGTTTTTTCTAATTCTGTGAAGAATGTCAATGGTAGCTTAATGGGAATTGCACTGAATCTATAAGTTGCTTTGGACAGTATGTCCATTTTCACAATATTGATTCTTCCTATCCAGGAGCACGGAATGTTTTTCTATCTGCCTGTGTCCTCTCTGATTTGCTTGAGCAGTGGTTTGTAGTTCTCCTTGAAGAGGTCCTTCACTACCCTCATTAGCTGTATTCCTAGGTATTTTATTCTCTTTGTCACAATTGTGAATGGGAGTTCATTCACGATTTTGATTTCTGCTTGTCTGTTGTTGGTGTATAGGAATGCTTGTGATTTCTGCACATTGATTTTATATCCTGAGACTTTGCTAAAGTTGCATATCAGCTTAAGAACCTTTTGGGCTGAGATGATGGGGTTTTCTAGATACAGGATCATGTCATTGGCAAACAAAGACAATTTGACTTCCTCTCTTCCTATTTGAAATTTCCTTTATTTATTTCTCTTGCCTAATTGCACTGGCCAGAACTTCCAGCACTTGGTTGAAAAGGAGTGGTGAGAGAGGGCATCCTTGTCTTGTGCCACTTTTCAAAGGGAATGCCTCCAGCTTTTGCCCATTTAGTATGATATTGGCTGTGGGCTTGTCATAAATGGTTCTTATTATTTTGAGGTATGTTTCTTCAATATCTAGTTTATTGAGAGTTTTTAACATGAAGGTATGTTGAATTTTACTGAAGGCCTTTTCTGAATCTATTGGAATAATCATATGGTTTTTGTCTTTAGTTCTGTTTATGTGATGAATTACATTTATTGATTTGCATATATTGAACCAGCCTTGCATTCTGGGGATAAAACCGACCTGATCATGGTGGATAAACTTTTTGATGTGTTGCTGGATTTTGTTTGCCAGTATTTTATTGAGGATTTTTGCACAGATGTTCATCAAGGATATTGGCCTAAAGTTTTCTTTTTTTGTTATATCTCTGCCAGGTTTTGGAATCAGGATGATGCTGGCCTCATAAAATGAGTTAGAGGGGAGTCCCTCCTTCACAATTGTTTGGAATAGTTTCAGAAGAAATGGTACCAGCTCCTCGTTGTACCTCTGGTAGAATTCAGCTGTAACTCCATCTGGAGCTGGGCTTTTTTTTTTTTTTGGCTGGTAGGCTATTTATTACTGCCTTAATTTCACAACTTGTTATTGGTCTGTTCAGGAATTCAACTTCTTTCTGGTGCAGTCTTGGGAGGGTGTATGTGTCCAGGAATTTATGCATTTCTTCTAGATTTTCTAGTTTGTTTTTAAAGAGGTGTTTATAGTATTCTCTGATGGTTGTTTGTATTTCTCTAGGGTCAGTGATGGTATCCCCCTTATTATTTCTGATTGTGTTTATTTGAATCTCCTCTCTTTTCTTCTCTATTAGTCTTGCTAACAGTCTATCTATTTTATTGATTTTTTCAAAAACACAGCTCCTGGATTTGTTGATTTTTCGAAGTGTTTTTCAGGTCTCTATCTCCCGAGTTTGGTTATTTCCTGTCTTCTGCTAGCTCTAGGGTTTGTTTGCTCTTGGTTCTCTAGTTATTTTAGTTGTGATGTTAAGGTGTTGATTTGAGATCTTTCTAGCTTTTTGATGTGAGTATTTAGTACTATAGATTTCCCTCTTAACACTGCTTTAGCTGTGTACCAGAGATTCTGATATGTTGTCTCTTTGTTCTAGTTGGTTTCAAAGAACTTCTTGATTTCTGCCTTAATTTCATTATTTACCCCAGAGTCATTCAGGAGCAGGTTGTTCAATTTCCATGTAGTGGTGTGGTTTTGAGTGGGCTTTTTAATCTTGAGTTTTAATTTGACTGCACTGTGGTCTGAGAGACTTATGATTTCAGTTCCTTTGCTGAGGAGTGTTTTACTTCCAATTATGTGATCAATTTTAGAATAAGTGCCATGTGGCACCAAAAAGAAATGTATATTCTGTTGTTTTTGAGTGGAGCGTTCTATAGATATCTATCAGGTCCACTTGATTTAGAGCTGAGTTCAAGTCCTGGATATCTTTGTTAATTTTCTGTCTCAATGATCTGTCTAACACTGCCAGTGGGGTATTAAAGTCTCTGACTATTATTGTGTGGGGGTCTAAGTCTCTTAATAGGTCTCTAAGAACTTGTTTTATGAATCTGGGGGCTCCTGTATTGGGTGCATATATATTTAGGGTAGTTAGCTCTTCGTGTTGAATTGAACACTTTAACATTATGTAATGCCCTTCATTGCCTTTTTCTTTTTCTTTTCTTTTTTTTTTTGAGATGGAGTCTTGCTCTTTTGCCCAGGCTGGAGTGCAACAGTGTGATCTCGGCTCACTGCAAGCTCCGCCTCCTGGGTTCACGCCATTCTCCTGCCTCAGCCTCCCGAGTAGCTGGGACTACAGGCGCCCACCACCACACCCGGCTAATGTTTTTGTATTTTTAGTAGAGACGGAGTTTCACTGTGTTAGCCAGGATGGTCTCAATCTCCTGACCTTGTGATCTGCCCACCTCGGCCTCCCAAAGTGCTGAGATTACAGGCTTGAGCCAGTGAGCCTGGCACCTTCTTCGTCTTTTTTTATCTTTGTTGGTTGAAAGTCTGTTTTGTCAGAAACTATGACTGCAACCCCTGCTTTTTTCTGCTTTCCATATGCTTGGTAAATTTTCCTCCATCCCTTTCTTATGAGTCTATGTGCGTCTTTGCACATGAGATGTGTCTCTTGAATACAGCACACCAACAGGTCTTCTCTTTGTATCCAGCTTGCCATTCTGTGTCTTTTAATCAGGGCATTTTGCCCATTTACATTTAAGGTTAATATTGTTATGTGTGAATTTGATCCCATCATCATGATGCTGGCTGGTTAATTTTGCAGACTTGTTAATGTAGTTCCTTCATAGTGTCATTGGTCTGTGTACTTCAGTGTGTTTTTGTAGTGGCTAGTAATGGTTTTTCTTATCCATGTTTAGTGCTTCTTTCAGGAGCTCTTGCCAGGCAGGCCTGGTGGTGACAAAAATCCTTCAGCATTTGCTTGTCTGAAAAAGATGTTATTTCTCTTCTGCTTATGAAACTTAGTTTGGCCAGATATGAAATTCTGGGTTGGAATTTCTCTTTTTTAACAATGTTGAACATTGGCCCCCAATTTCTTCTGGCTTGCAGAGTTTCTGCTCAGAGGTCCACTGTTAGTGTCATGGGCTTCCCTTTGTAGGTGACCTGGCCTTTCTCTCTTAGTGCCCTTAACATTTTTTCCTTCATTTTGACCTTGGAGAATCTGATGATTATGTGCCTTGGGGCAGATCTTTTTGTGGAGTATCTTATTGGGGTTCTTTGGATTTCCTGAATTTGAATATTGGCCTGTCTTGCTAGGTTGGGGAAGTGGAAGTTGCCCTGGATGATATCCTGAAGGGTGTTTTACAACTTGGTTCCATTCTCCCCATCTCTTTCAGGTATCCAAACAGTCACAGGTTTGGTCTTTTTACACAGTCCCATAATTCTCAAAGGTTTTGTTTGTTCCTTTTCATTGTTTATTCTCTAATCTTGTCTGCCTGCCTTATTTCAGCAAGATAGCCTTCAAGCTCTGATATTCTCTCTTCTGCTTGGTTGATCTGGCTATTGATACTTCTATTTGCATCACAAAGTTCTCGTGTTGTGTTTTTCAGCTCCATCAGGTTGCTTATGTTCCTCTCTAGACTGGTTATTCTAGTTAACAGCTCCTGTAATCTTTTATCATGGTTCTTAGCTTCTTTGCATTGGGTTAGAATATAATCCTTTAGCTCAATAAAATTTGTTATTACCCACTTTCTAAAGCCTACTTCTGTCAGTTCATCCATCTCAGCTTTAGCCCCATTCTGTGTCCTTGCTGGAGACGAGTTACAATCATTTGGAGGAGAGGAAGCATTCTGGCTTTTGAGATTTTCAGCATTTTTGCATTGGTTTTTCCTCATCTTTCTGGATTTATCTACCTTTGATCTTTGAGGCTGACAACCTTTGGATAGGGTTTTTGTGGGGTCTTTTTTGTTGATGTTGATTTTGTTTTTGCTTTCTATTTGTTTCTTTTTCTTCTAACAGTCAGGACCCTCTTCTGCAGGTCTGCTGCAGCTTGCTGGGGGTCCACTCCAGACCCTGTTTGCCAGGGTATCACCAGTGAAGATTGCAGAACAGCAAAGATTGCTGCCGGCTCCTTCCTCTGGAAGCTTCATCCCAGAGGGGCACTGACCTGATGCCAGCTGGAGCTCTCCTATATAAGGCATCTGCCAACCACTGTTGGGAGGTCTCACCCAGACAGAAGGCATGGGGTCAGGGACCCTCCTGAGGAGGCAGTCTGTCCCTTAGCAGAGCTGGTGTGCTGTGCTGGGGGAAATCCCCCTCTTCGGAATCAGCCAATCTTTTCAGAGCCAAGAGGCAAGAAAGATCAGGTCTGCTGAACCTGGGACCACAGCCACCCCTCCCACCAGGTGCTCTGTCCCAAGGAGATGTGAGTTCTGTCTGTAAGCCCCTGACTGGAGCTGGTGGACTCCTGCAGGGATGCCCTGCCCGGTGAGGGGGTATCTAGAGAAGTAGTCTGGCCACAGCCACTTTACTGCACTGTGGAGAATTCTGCCCAGTCCAAACCTCCCAGTCTCCTTAGCCCTCTCAGGGGAAAACTGCCTACTAAAGCCACAGTAATGGTAGTTGCATCACCCCTGCCTGGGAATTCGATCCCCCCAGGCAGACTCCAGACTTCTGTACTTGCAATGGGAATTTCAAGCCAGTGGTTCTTAGCTTGCTAGGCTCCATGGGAGTGGGACCCACTGAGCAAGACCACTTGGCTCCCTGGCTTCATCCCCCTTTCCACAGGAGTGGACTGTTCTCCTGTCTCACTAGAGTTCCAAGTGCCACTGGAGTATGTAAAAACTGCAGTTCAGTGCCTGCCTGAACAGCTGCCCAGTTTTTTGCTTGAGACCCAGGGGCCTGGTGGTGTAGGCTCACGAGGGAATCTCCTAATCCCCAGATAGCAAAAATCTTTGGGAAAAGCATAGTACCCCCAGTGGGTAGCACAGTCCCTCACTGCTACCTTGACTGGAGAAGGGAGGTGCCCCCAACTCCGTGCACTTCCCAGGTGAAGTGACGCCCCACCCTGTTTCTGCTCTTCCCTATGAGAGCTTTTAATGCTACAAGAACAGAGTTCAGTCATTGTGACTGAGATTATATGGCCCATAAAGCCTAAAATACTTACTTATTTTGAAAGTTTTGGCCAGGTGCGGTGGCTCACGCCTGTAATCCCAGCACTTTGGGAGGCCGAGGTGGGTGGATTATGAGGTCAGAAGTTCAAGACTAGCCTGGCCAACATGGGGAAACCCTGTGTCCCCTAAAAATACAAAAATTAGCTGGGCGTGGTAGCACACACCTGTAATCCCAGATACTCAGGAGGCTGAAGCAGGAAAATCACTTAATCCCGGGAGGCGGAGGTTGCAGTGAGCTGAGACAGCACTACTACACTCCAAACTGGGCGACAGTAGGAGACTCCATCTCAAAAAAAAAAAAAAAAAAAAAAAAAAACAAGTTTTCCAACTTTTTGGAAAATTTTAAGTTTTTCAACCTCCTCCTCTACAACAATATACAATAACGTTTTAAAAATAATTACCTGTGACAATGGAGCCAAGATGGCTGAGTAGGAACAGCTCTGGTCTACAGCTCCCAGCGTTAAGCGACACAGAACACGGGTGATTTCTGCATTTCCATCTGAGGTACCAGGTTCATCTCACTAGGGAGTGCCAGACAGTGGGCGCAGGACAGTGGGTGCAGCGCACCGTGCGCAAGCTGAAGCAGGGCAAGGCATTGCCTCACTCAGGAAGTGCAAGGAGTCGGGGAGTTCCCTTTCCTAGTCAAAGAAAGGGGTGACAGACGGCACCTGGAAATTCGGGTCACTCCCACCCTAATACTGCGCTTTTCCGACAGGCTTAAAAAACGGCGCACCAGGAGATTATATCCCGCACATGGCTTGGAGGGTCCTACGCCCACGGAGTCTCGCTGATTGCTAGCACAGCAGTCTGAGATCAAACTGCAAGGCAGCAGCCAGGCTGGGGGAGGGGTGCCCACCATTGCCCAGGCTTTCTTAGGTAAACAAAGCAGCCTGGAAGCTCGAACTGGGTGGAGCCCACCACAGCTCAAGGAGGCCTGCCTGCCTCTGTAGGCTCCACCTCTGGGGGCAGGGCACAGACAAACAAAAAGACAGCAGTAACCTCTGCAGACTTAAATGTCCCTGTCTGACAGCTTTGAAGAGAGCAGTGGTTCTCCCAGCACGCAGCTGGAGATCTGAGAACGGGCAGACTGCCTCCTCAAGTGGGTCCCTGACCCCTGACCCCCAAGCAGCCTAACTGGGAGGCACCCCCCAGTAGGGGCAGACTGACACCTCACATGGCCCAGTACTCCTCTGAGACAAAACTTCCAGAGGAACGATCAGACAGCAGCATTCGCGGTTCATAAAAATCCACTGTTCTGCAGACACCTCTGCTGATACCCAGGCAAACAGGGTCTGGAGTGGACCTCTAGCAAACTCCAACAGACCTGCAGCTGAGGGTCCTGTCTGTTAGAAGGAAAACTAACAAACAGAAAGGACATCCACACCAAAAACCCATCTGTACATCACCATCATCAAAGACCAAAAGTAGATAAAACCACAAAGATGGGGAAAAAACAGAGCAGAAAAACTGGAAATTCTAAAAAGCAGAGCACCTCTCCTCCTCCAAAGGAACGCAGTTCCTCACCAGCAACGGAACAAAGCTGGACGGAGAATGACTTTGACGAGTTGAGAGAAGAAGGCTTCAGATGATCAAACTACTCCGAGCTACAGGAGGAAATTCAAACCAAAGGCAAAGAAGTTAAAAACTTTGAAAAAAATTTAGACAAATGTATAACTAGAATAACCAATACAGAGAAGTGCTTAAAGTAGCTGATGGAGCTGAAAGCCAAGGCTCGAGAACTACGTGAAGAATGCAGAAGCCTCAGGAGCCAATGTGATCAACTGGAAGAAAGGTTATCAGTGATGGAAGATGAAATGAATGAAATGAAGCAAGAAGGGAAGTTTAGAGAAAAAAGAATAAAAACAAACAAAGCCTCCAAGTAATATGGGACTATGTGAAAAGACCAAATCTACGTCTGATTGGTGTACCTGAAAGTGAGGGGGAGAATGCAACCAAGTTGGAAAACCCTCTGCAGGATATTGTCCAGGAGAACTTCCCCAATCTAGCAAGGCACGCCAACATTCAGACTCAGGAAATACAGAGAACGCCACAAAGATACTCCTCAAGAAGAGCAACCCCAAGACACATCATTGTCAGATTCACCAAAGTTGAAATGAAGGAAAAAATGTTAAGGGCAGACAGAGAGAAAGGTCAGGTTACCCACAAAGGGAAGTCCATCAGACTAACAGCTGATCTCTTGGCAGAAACTCTACAAGCCAGAAGAGAGTGGGAGCCAATATTCAACATTCTTAAAGAAAAGAATTTTCAACCAAGAATTTCATATCCAGCCAAACTAAGCTTCATAAGTGAAGGAGAAATAAAATTCTTTACAGACAAGCAAATGCTGAGAGATTTTGTCACCACCAGGCCTGCCCTAAAACAGCTCCTGAAGGAAGCACTAAACATGGAAAGGAACAACCAGTTCCAGCCACTGCAAAATCATGGCAAATTGTAAAGACCATCGAGGCTAGGAAGAAACTGCATCAACTAACGAGCAAAATAACCAGCTAACATCATAATGACAGGATAAATTCACACATAACAATATTAACTTTAATTGTAAATGGATTAAATGCTCCAATTAAAAGACACAGACTGGCAAATTGGATGGAGTCAAGACCCATCAGTGTGCTGTATTCAGGAAATCCATCTCACGTGCAGAGACACACATAGGCTCAAAATAAAAGGATGGAGGAAGATCTACCAAGCAAATGGAAAACAAAAAAAGGCAGGGGTTGCAATCCTAGTCTCTCATAAAACAGACTTTAAACCAAAAAGATCAAAAGAGACAAAGAAGGCCATTACATAATGGTAAAGGGATCAATTCAACAAGAAGAGCTAACTATCCTAAATATATATGCACCCAATACAGGAGCACCCAGATTCATGAAGCAAGTCCTGAGTGACCTACAAAGAGACTTAGACACCCACACAATAATAATGGGAGATTTTAACACCCCACTGTCAACATTAGACAGATCAACGAGACAGAAAGTTAACAAGGATACCCAGGAACTGAACTCAGCTCTGCACCAAGCAGACCTAATAGACATCCACAGAACTCTCCAACACAAATCAACAAAATAAACATTCTTTTCAGCACCACACCACACCTATTCCAAAATTGACCACATAGGTGGAAGTAAAGCTCTCCTCAGCAAATGTAAAAGAACAGAAATTATAACAAACTGTCTCTCAGACCACAGTGCAATCAAACTAGAACTCAGGATTAAGAAACTCACTCAAAACCGCTCAACTACATGGAAACTGAACAACCTGCTCCTGAATGACTACTGGGTACACAACGAAATGAAGGCAGAAATAAAGATGTCCTTTGAAACCAACGAGAACAAAGACACAACATACCAGAATCTCTGGGACACATTCAAAGCAGTGTAAAGAGGGAAATTTATAGCACTAAATGCCCACAAGAGAAAGCAGGAAAGATCCAAAATTGACACCCTAACATCACAATTAAAAGAACTAGAGAAGCAAGAACAAACACATTCAAAAGCTAGTAGAAGGCAAGAAATAACTAAAACCAGAGCAGAAATGAAGGAAATAGAGACACAAAAAACCCTTCAAAAAATTAATGAATCCAGGAGCTGGTTTTTTGAAAGGATCAACAAAATTGACAGACTGCTAGCAAGACTAATAAAGAAGAAAAGAGAGAAGAATCAAATAGACGCAATAAAAAATGATAAAGGGGATATCACCACCGATCCCACAGAAATACAAACTACCATCAGAGAATACTACAAACACCTCTACGCAAATAAACTAGAAAATCTAGAAGAAATGGATAAATTCCTCCACACATACACCCTCCCAAGACTAAACAAGGAAGAAGTTGAATCTCTGAATAGACCAATAACAGGCTCTGAAATTGTGGCAATAATCAATAGCTTACCAACCAAAAAGAGTCCAGGACCAGATGGATTCACAGCCGAATTCTACCAGAGGTACAAGGAGGAACTGGTACCATTCCTTCTGAAACTATTCCAATCAATAGAAAAAGAGGGAATCCTCCCTAACTCATTTTATAAGGCCAGCATCATCCTGATACCAAAGCTGGGCAGAGACACAACCAAAAAAGAGAATTTTAAACCAATATCCTTGATGAACATTGATGCAAAAATCCTCAATAAAATACTGGCAAAACAAATCCAGCAGCACATCAAAAAGCTTATCCACCATAATCAAGTGGGCTTCATCCCTGGGATGCAAGGCTGGTTCAATATACACAAATCAATAAATGTAATCCAGCATATAAACAGAACCAAAGACAAAAACCACATGATTATCTCAATAGATGCAGAAAAGGCCTTTCACAAAATTCAACAACCCTTCATGCTAAAACTCTCAATAAATTAGGTATTGATGGGACGTATCTCAAAAGAATAAGAGCTATCTATGACGAACCCACAGCCAGTATCATCCTGAATGGGCAAAAACTGGAAGCAATCCCTTAGAAAACTGGCACAAGACAGGGATGCCCTCTCTCACCACTCCTATTCAACATAGTGTTGGAAGTTCTGGCCAGGGCAATTAGGCAGGAGAAGGAAATAAAGGGTATTCAATTAGGAAAAGAGGAAGTCAAATTGTCCCTGTTTGCAGATGACATGATTGTATATCTAGAAAACCCCATTGTCTCAGCCCGAAATCTCCTTAAGCTGATAAGCAACTTCAGCAAAGTCTCAGGATACAAAATCAATGTACAAAAATCACAAGCGTTCTTATACACCAATAACAGACAGAGAGCCAAATCATCAGTGAACTCCCATTCACAATTGCTTCAAAGAGAATAAAATACCTAGGAGTCCAACCTACAAGGGTTGTGAAGGACCTCTTCAAGGAGAACTACAAACCACTGCTCAATGAAATAAAAGAGGATACAAACAAATGGAAGAACATTCCATGCTCATGGATAGGAAGAATCAATATCGTGAAAATGGCCATACTGCCCAAGGTAATTTATAGATTCAATGCCATCCCCATCAAGCTACCAATGACTTTCTTCACAGAATTGGAAAAAACTACTTTAAAGTTCATATGGAACCAAAAAAGAGCCCGCATCGCCAAGTCAATCCTAAGCCAAAAGAACAAAGCTGGAGGCATCATGCTACCTGACTTCAAACTATACTACAAGGCTACAGTAACCAAAACAGCATGGTACTGGTACCAAAACAGAGATATAGATCAATGGAACAGAACAGAGCCCTCAGAAATAATGCCACATATCTACAGCTATCTGATCTTTGACAAACCTGAGAAAAACAAGCAATGGGGAAAGGATTCCCTATTTAATAAATGGTGCTGGGAAAACTGGCTAGCCATAGGTAGAAAGCTGAAACTGGATCCCATCCTTACACCTTATACAAAAATTAATTCAAGATGGATTAAAGACTTAAACATTAGACCTAAAACCATAAAAACCCTAGAAGAAAACCTAGGCATTACCATTCAGGACATAGGCATGGGCAAGGACTTCATGTCTAAAACACCAAAAGCAATGGCAACAAAAGCCAAAATTGACAAATGGGATCTAATTAAACTCAAGAGCTTCTGCACAGCAAAAGAAACTACCATTAGAGTGAACAGGAAACCTATAAAATGGGAGAAAATTTTCGCAACCTACTCATCTGACAAAGGGCTAATATCCAGAATCTACAATGAACTCAAACAAATTTACAAGAAAAAAACAAACAACCCCATCAAAAAGTGGGCAAAGGACATGAACAGACACTTCTCAAAAGAAGACATTTATGCAGCCAAAAAACACATGAAAAAATGCTCACGATCACTGGCCATCAGAGAAATGCAAATCAAAACCACAATGAGATACCATCTCACACCAGTTAGAATGGCAATCATTAAAAAGTCAGGAAACAACAGGTGCTGGAGAGGATGCAGAGAAATAGGAACACTTTCACACTGTTGGTGGGACTGTCAACTAGTTCAACCATTGTAGAAGTCAGTGTGGCGATTCCTCAGGGATCTGGAACTAGAAACACCATTTGACCCAGCCATCTCATTATTGGGTATATACCCAAAGGACTATAAATCATGCTGCTATAAAGATACATGCACACGTATGTTTATTGCGGCACTATTCACAATAGCAAAGACTTGGAACCAACCCAAGTGTCCAACAATGATAGACTGGATTAAGAAAATGTGGCACATATACACCATGGAATACTATGCAGCCATAAAAAATGATGAGTTCATGTCCTTTGTAGGGACATGGATGAAATTGGAAATCATCATTCTCAGTAAACTATCGCAAGGACAAAAAACCAAACGCTGCATGTTCTCACTCATAGGTGGGAATTGAACTATGAGAACACATGGACACAGGAAGGGGAACATCACACTCTGGGGACTGTTGTGGGGTGGGGGGAGGGGGGAGGGATGGCATTAGGTGATATACCTAATGCTAAATGACGAGTTGGTGGGTGCAGCACACCAGCATGGCACATGTATACATATGTAACTAACGTGCACATTGTGCACATATACCCTAAAACTTAAAGTATAATAATAATACAATAAAAAATTATAATAAAAAAATAAATAAATAAAAATAAAAATAATTATCTGTGAGAAGAATAAAGGATGAGGGTAAAAATGGGAGACTTGTATTGAGTATCTTTTAATATTATTTTGATTTTTAGAGTACATAAATATATTACCTATTAAAATAGCTTTTAAAATAAATTGCAATGGTTTCTGCAAAGATCATTTCTGTACCCTTGTGGTAGACAGCCTCCAAGACAGGCCCTAATGATCCCCACCCCTTCGTATTCATAGCCCTGTGTAGTACCCCCCACATCATACTAGGAAGGTCTGTGTGACAAATAACACATGGTGTGTCACTTCCAAGACTGTATGATAAAGACAATGGCTTCCATCTTATTTATTCTCTTACTTTCTCTTTTTCTCTCTCCCCCTGCTGTCTCTATACACTAGCTCTGGATAAAGCCAGCTGTCATATCATGAGGACATTCAGGAAGCCTATAGAAAGCCTATGTGGTAAGGAACTAAAGCCATTGACCAACAGCTAGATAGGAACTGAGGACTGTTAAAAACCATGGGAATGATTTTCTAAATGTATCCTCCCCAAATTGAGCCTTCGGATTAGACTGCTGCCTCAGCCAATATTTTGAATGAAATCTCATGAGAGACCTTAATCAGATCCACCCAGCTTAGCAGCTTCCAATTTTTTCCCCATAGAAACTGAGATGATGAATGTTTGTAGTTTAAGCCACTCAGTTTTGGAGTAGTCTGTTACACAGAAATAGATATCTAATAAAACAATCATCTTTGACTTTTTAAGAGAAAAAGAAAAACATGGGATAGGGTTGAGGACCAAAATCCCAGAGAGGGAGCAGCTAGAGGTACAGGGAAGATGCTGATGGGCCAAATAGTTTAAGAACAAGAAGGCAGATCAATTTGAAAGGCAAAGGGTAGTGACAGGTAATGAGCTCAAGAATGATTGACATGAGTCCATAAGTGCCCAGATGGAAAATGTATTAAGGGACAGTATCTAAAGCAGCAGAGGCAGAGAGCAAGAGGACAGCAAGGAGGCAGGAAAGAGCTCTGCTGGACTGGGATTTAAAAGACCAGCATTTCTTAAGGCAAATGGGACACTGAACAAGCCTCTCGGTCACTCTGGGGCTTTAGTTTTCTTATCTAAAAAGGAAAGAGATAGGATGACTATAAATTCTACCATTAGAATATTCTCTTTGCACAATGCTAGAGGTGGTAGCACTGCCTTAGGTGAATTATAGTTTATACTATTTCAGTGGTTTTGAGGGACAAGCTATTGGTAGCGCACCTTCTCAGTCTGGAAAGCAACCCATTTTATGCATATGCATTATCATTTATTCAGTAATTGTTTACTGAGTATTTCCTCTGTTCTAGGCATAACATACTAAGCTTTAGAGGGGAGAAGGGATTAGAAAGGTCAATAAGGCACAATACCATTCCTCAAGGGACCCACTAATTCTGCCTGGCCTAACATTATCACAATGCCTGCCTATTAGCTTAAGTAACAAGTATCCTCCTTCATTCATCCATGTTTGAAATCCTTAGTTAGCTTCCAGTTTCTCCATCCTTGACCTTTTTAAGTTTTTACATCTATTCTTGTATCTTCTCCACACTGCTAACTTTGGAAAGAAAGGGTACTTGAAAGCCAAGGACCTTACTGAGCACTATTCATTTTAATAACCGGGGAAACCATTATGCCTCTTTTTATGAGTACTACATATCTATTAACGGAGCCTAAGATTGCCTTAGATTGTTTTGCTGTCACGCCACAATGGTTGCTCAATCAACTGCAAATTCACTTAGGTGCAAATTCATCATTTTAGCTACAAGATGTATGACATGTAAGCCTTTGCAAATTGCTTTGCTGAAATCAATATACCTTTTGTGTATGGAATTCCCCAATACATCAAGCCACTATCCCCACCCAAAAAAAGAAGTGAATTTACTTTGGCTGGATTTCTTCTTAGTGAACCTAAGTCGGCTCTTACTGATTAACATGTTTTCTTCTAAATGGTCACAATGTACAAGTTTTATAATTCCCCAAGTTGTTTTTACAGATACTGAAATATAAAAGCACTCTATTATTAGGTTAATATTTCCAGAATTCACTCCTTTTCTTTAAAAAATGACCTTTGGCTCACATTTGATCTGCTGATAGCTTTCTCTACTTATCATATTTGTAGATGATACAGAAAGATTCTCTCATTGCTTTCTTTACCCTCTTAACCCAACCAATAAAGAGGAAATGCAGTATAAATTATGATCCATCAACATAATGAAATAATATATTACCATTAGGTTATCATTTTAATTGCTACCTAGAAAGACAGAAAATACTTGCTATATAATATTAAAAGCAGAATAGAAAGTGAGAGGTAGACACAATTATAACTCTGTAAATGTTTTTGGGATGCGAAGAGGCTTAGAAGACAGTATGCAAAAGTGCATTAAGTAAATGGAATTCTGGGTAATTACTTTCTTTTCAAAGTTTTTCTTTAATTTTCTATCTACTGCTTTCCTTATCAAAACTCCTTTAGAGGAAATGAAATGGTACCTAAAAAGAGAAACAATTAGATAATTCTGATGTCTTGTTTAGCATTTACTGTTCACATTGCAATATTTCATTGTTCCCATTCCTCAAAATTAGCTGGGATGAAGACAGAGCACAGATTATATAGTTGATCCTTGAACCACACAAGTTTGAACTGTGCGGGTCAACTTATATGCAGATTTTTTCAATAAGATATATCAGAAATTTTTTTCAAGATTTGTGACAATTTGAAAAAACAGACAAACTGTGTAGCCTAGAAATATCAAAAAAATAAGGAAAAGGTTGTGATGAGCACATAAAATATGTATAACTATAGTCTACTTTATCATTTTCTACCATAAAATATTACACAAATCTATTATAGAAGGTTAAAATTTGTCAAAATTTACGTGCATGGCCAGACATAGCAGCTCACACCTGTAATTCCAGCACTTTGGGAGGCCAAGGTGGGAGGATTGCTTGAGGTCAGAAGTTCCAGACCAGCCTGAGCAGCATAGTGAGACCCCACCTCTATTAAATAAAAAGTAGCCAGGTGTGGTGGCACATGCTTGTAATCCTAGCTACTCACTAATTGGGAGGCTGAGGCAGGAGCATCGTTTCAGCCCACGAGTTTTAGACTGCAGTAAGTCATGATCATACCACTGCACTCAAACCTGGGCAACAGAGTGAGACCCTCACTCAAAAAAAAAAAAAAAACAGAAAAGAAATAAAACCCATTGTGACAAATGCAACATATTAATGTAAAATGAGAACAGCAGAGGAAACAGAGTGTTGGGTATATGGGAACTTACTATCTTCACAGCAGTTCTGGGAACTAAAACTATCCTAAAATTAAAAGTTAATTTAAAAATTGAATGTTGTGAAGACATTGTTAAAAAAAGTATGCACACAAACACTTATAAACTATAAATGGCACCATTTACAGTTAAAAGAAATGTAAACAAATGTAAAGAGGCAGTATTAAGCCATAACTACATAAAATTAACTAGTATCTATTGTACTATGGTAATAATTCTGTAGCTACCTCCTGTGGCTATTGTGGTGAGCTCAAGAGTTGTATTCCGTTAAAACACCATGTGAGGCTAATCATCTTCACGTGAGCAATTTGTCTCTCCAGTAAATTGCATATCACAGTAAAAAGTGAGCACTTGGAGTTCTCACTTATTTTTTATCATGTTAAAGTGCAATACCAGAAACCATGGGGCCCATAAGGAGTGCCACTAGTGATGCTGTAACTGCTTCCAAGCAGAAGAGGAAAGTCATAACCTTACAAGAAAAGGTTGAATTGCTTGACACATACCACCGATTGAGGTTTGCAGCTGTGATGTGATGCCCACCATTTCAAGATAAATGAACCAAGAATAAGGACCATGGTGAAAAAAGAAAAGGAAAATCATAAAGCCATCACTGCAGCTATTCCAGAAAGTGTGAAAACCTTGCAAAATTTTTGCAAAATACCTTCTTATCTCATATTGAAAATGCAGCTTTTATGTAGGTACAGGACTGCTATAAGAAAGGCATACCTATAGACTATAATATGGTTAGAGAAAAAGCAAGGACATATATGACAACTTAAAGCAAAAGGAAGGTGAAGTATCTAAAGCTGGAGAATTTAATGCCAGCAAAGGATGGTTTGATAATTTCAGAAGGAGATGTGGCTTTTAAAAAGTCAAGATAACAAGAGAAGTAGCTCCTGCTGACAAGAGGCAGCGGATAAATTCCCAGGCACCATTAAGAAAATTTTAAGGAGAGAGGATATCTGCCTGAACAGATTTTTGGTGCAGACAAGTGCCATATTCTAGAATAAAATGCCACACAAAGGACATTTATTAGTAAGAAAGAGAAGCAAGTACCAAGATTTAAGGTAGGAAGAGACAGGCTAACTTTATTGTTTGGTGTAAATACAGTAGGGTTTATGAACAGGACTGCCCCTATCTATGAAGCTGCTAACCCCAAGCCTTAAAGGAAAAAGATAAATACAAGCTACCCACCTTTTAGTTGTACAATAAGAAGGCCTGAACAAGAAAAGCCCTTTTTCTGGATTGGTTCCATTGATGCTTTGTCCCTGAAGTCAGGAAGCACCTTTCCAGTAAGGGATGGCTTTTAAAGTTCTTTTGATATTAAACAACGTTCCTGGCCACCCAGAACCCCATGGATTCAACACTGAAGTCATCAAAGTGGCCTACGTGTCCCCAAACACAACATTTCTAATTCACTCCCTAGATCAAGGGGTCATAAGGACCATTAAGGGTCATTACACGTAATACTACAGGAAAGGATTTCAACACTATGGAAAAGAGCCCTAATAGAGAGAACATCATGAAAGTCTGGAAGGATTACAACATTGAAGATGCCATCATTGTTTAAAAATAAAAAGCTGTGAAAGCCATAGTCCAAAACAATAAATTCCTGCTGGAGAAGACTGTGCCCAGATTTTGTGCATGACTTCACAGGATTTATAACAGAGCCAGTCAAGGAAATCATGAAAGATATTATAGATATGGCAAAAAAGGTGAGGGGGTAAAGGGTTTCAAGGTATGGATCTTAGAGAAAATTCAAATGCTAATGGACACCACACAAGAGGAATTAACAGAATATGACTTGGTGGAGATGAGTGCTTCCAAACCAATGCCAGATGATGAGAAAGACGAAGGGGAAGAAGCAATGCCAGAAAACGAATTGACATTAGACAATCTGGCAGAAGGGTTCTGATTATTCAAGACTGCTTTTGACTTCCTTTACAACATGGATCCTTCTATATGATATGGGCACTGAAACTAAAGCAAATGGTAGAAGAAGGATTGGTACTGTATAAAAACATTTTTAGAGTAAAGAAAAAGCAGAAAAGTCAACCAGAAATTATGATGGTATTTCTATAAAGTTACAAGACGTGTGCCTGCCTTTCCTGCCACACCTTCTACCTCATCTACTTCTTCACCCTCTGCCACCCTGAGACAGCAAGACCACCCCCTCCTCTTCCACATCCTCCTCAGCCTTCTCAACATGAAGGCTTTTGTGATGACCCACTTCTACTTAATGAATAGTAAATATGTTTTCTCTTTCTTATGATTTTCTTAATAACCTTTTCTCTCTAGCTTACTTTATTATAAGAATATACAATATAATAAATACAACATATAAAATATGTGTTAACTGGCTGTTTATGTTATCAATAAGGCTTCTGGTTAACAGTAGGCTATTAATAGATAAGTTTTGGGGAAGTCAAAAGTTATGTGCAAATTTTTTGCTGCACGGGGAGTTGGTGCCCCCTCAACTCCCGTGTTTTCAGGGGTCAACTGTAGTCTGTATTTTAGACACACAGATAAGACTATTCCTTTCACCCACATACAAAAACAACAATAAAATAACCAAGTGTTTTAAAAGAATTTTTGTTTCTAACAATAATCCTTTAAAAAAAAAGTGTAATCCTCCAACACGCACACGCACACGCATGCGTGCACACACACACACACACACACACACAAATTCTAACCAGGTAGTTTACTTGAGGATTGTTAATATAGACCCTTACCCCTCCCCACAATGGATGTAACCCAAGGTGGGCCAATCAGTATTTCTATGGCATTTCTCACACCAGAGCTGGGGAAAAAATTCAGTCTTTCTCTGGTGGCAAAGTTGTGTCAGAGATGTAAAAAATAGGAGCTGCTAGTAACCAAGCTTCCAGCCATATGAAAAAAGCCAGTCTGACAAGATGAAGCTGACCAGAGAGCAGCAGAGTTTACAGATGGAATCAGGCAATTCTTACAACATTTTAGTTCCTGATGTCAGTAATTCCTGAGCCTCAATTGCACCCCTTTCTGAAGTTACCTGAATCAATAAATTTATATGGTTATTGTTTGTCTAAGTTGGACAGACCTGGGTTTCTATCATTTGAAATAAAAAGTCATGCCTAATATAGAAGATATTATTATTCCTGTTTTTTACACATAGGAAACCTAAAGTTCAAAAAAATTAAGTAAGATTATGAAGTCAGTTAGCGTTGGCCTGGAAGCACATGTGTTTTTTATAAAGACAAGTTGCATCCCACTGAAGAAAAAAGCAGCTAAAGGAAAGATATATAAAAAGAGGAAAACAGAACAGGAAGGCAGAAGTATGGCAAATGAACAAAAATGATAACAGCATTTATGTCAAGTTGAAACTTTAAAAATATCAAGTTTTCTTTATTAAGTTAGGAAACAAAACTCTTGAGAATCTTCAGGAACAGCTGATTCCATCCTAGTGTTTTTATTTTTTCTTTATATGGTATCCAGGTGCAGTTTAACTGGTTCTTCTTCTTTTAGTCTCTCACGTTGAGCTTCTCCATAGAGCATGATACAGCGTGGTAGCTTGCTTCATCAGAACAAGCAAGCAAGAAGGCAAAGAAGAGTGCCAGCAAGAAAGAGAAAGTCCTAGTAAGGTTAAAGTCCTAGTCTTTTGTAGCCTATATGAAGTGATAACCCGTATGTTTTGCCACATTCTGTTCTTAAGAAGCAAGTCACTAGATCCAGCCCACCCACACACAAGGATTACCCAAAGGCATAAATACCCAGGAGTAGGGATTAGTGGCAGTCATATTACAACCTGCCTGACACACTAGTGGTACTTGAAATATTAATAATAATGTATTTCACAATCCAAGTGTTAGAGTCATTGAAATACATTAGAAGGTACCCAGTAAATGTTTGTTGAATGATTAAAATGAATGGAAAAAATGATGCTATCCTTTTTGAAAAAATCAATTATAGTTTTCCTGCTATGTTCTCAATATTTCCTAATGTCTCTGACCATCTCTGTGGCTGCACCAACTTCTTTCATGCTGATTTTCTTAAAGTCAGGAACACAGAAACAATATAATTAATCTGGCATTTAATTTTGGTATTATGGTGATGGCGGAACACACCAGCACCTTTTACTTCAGTGCAATATTGACATATGTTCACTCAATAAACAAATCAGCATTCCCATCTCAAATAACTCATTCAAGAGGATAGGCAACTCAAATGTTAAACTATGAGTTGACAACATGCTACCTTTTCCAAAAACCATATAATGCCATTGTGATGCTTAGTTTCTTGAGAAGTAGCAAGACTCATCCACCCCATCTTTACTTGTTCTAACTATTGGTACCACTGTTTACACATGTACTGACCTCTGTCTGGCTTTCTGTGCCACTTTATGTCAGAGACTGTAATAAAAGAAAGTTCACGAGATGACAATCCAAGATAGGCCTGTAAGTACAAGTGACAAAAAAAAGTGGTGGTCAGCCCCTTTCTCATACTACTAGTTTAACTAGACAAGGTAGAGGGGCACAAGATGAGGAAGAAGATGAAAGAGCCATTTTAATAGCATGAGGAGATAATCACTGGCCCCTTTTCTTTTTTAAACCAAAAAGCACACTGTCAACTCTGGATGACAACAGTAAGACTAAAGAAATGCCGCAGACTTGTCTCCAACTAATAATAGAAGCAAAAGTATTTTTATCTTAGTTGGTACCATTAAGATGCCCTGATCATTCTTACAGAGCTGTTTTATTTTGTTTTTACAAGAAAATATACTGTCTTCATGAAGAAATGACAGTCAGCATGTGTGATACGTGGAGCCTCTGCACTAGATGTTCTTCCAAGGAAGTGTCCCTCCTTTGCATGCAAGAAAAGGGTCTGCTTTGGAGAAGCACCAGGGAAGTGACAAAAAAATAATACATGAGGTATAATATTTGGCCACATTGTGCACAGGGCCAGGAAGAAGGATGCAAAAAAGCCTAGTGTAGTTGACTTCAAAAAGATTTAGGAAGGCAGATAAACTACGTGTGCAGGAAAATGTGACAGTGGCTTTACTGGAAAATGGGAATTCTGAAGATGTTTAAAAGACTTGGTGTCTATGAGGATCTCTTAATCTCATAGGAATCCTGCATGCCATTTTTCATACTCATAAGCTCCCCAAAGGCAGAAACAGACCATTATCTCCCTTCATATTTCCAAGGATAGTGCCCTTTACAGGAGATGCTTACTAAATAATAATAAAGCTAACATTTATTCACTGCTCAGCCAGATTCTCTACTACAAGCTTAACAGATTATCCAACTAAATTCCCCCAGCCCTTTGAATAGGTATTACCATAAACCCCATCTTATAGATGAGGAAATGAAAGTTTAGGAGGTAATGTGACTTGCCTAAGTTCTTACAACTATATTGTGGAGCCAAGATTCAAGCCCAGGTAGCTGATTCCAAAGCCTTAACCACTTTTAACCCTATACCAAATGATGGCAGATTTGAATTGCTGTTCTTAGGTATACAAGTGGATCATGAGTGACCCCTTTCTGATTCTATTTCATAGGATTTTGTTTTTCACTTGTCATGGTCAGAAAAGAATAATCTACTGCCAGAGGTAAACTCCTTTTCACAAGTGAGGTGCTAAGCAGGTCACCTGTTTTTCCCGTGGCTCTGCCACTCCAGTGTGTGTAAAGAGGGTGTCAAGAAAATGTAAGACCATTGAGGAAGGATTCCCCGCTCAAAAGAATTTGTTTGTGTGTGTGTGTGTGTGTGTGTGTGTGTGTGTGTGTGTGTGTGTCAGGGTGGGTATAGTAGGGCAAAATGGGCAAGGGTTTGGAAGGTGGAAAGGAGTGGAAGGTGGGCTGCAAAAATGTCATTTTAAAACGGTAAATCCTTTCTTCCCCAAGTAAGACTTATCAGTCATTCACAACTCAATGTGAATTACTTTGATCAGTTTGCTTTTCTCTTAGAAACTAAAAGAATTCCTGTTGCTCTGGCCAAAGAAAATGACCAGCCACTGAGGACAAAAACATTGTATTAGTCTAGTCAGCTTGGGCTGCCATAACAAAATACCATATAATAAGTGGTTTAAACAACAGAAATTATTTTCTCACAATTCTGGAGGCTGGAAGTCCAAGACCAGGGTGCTAGTATGGTAGGGTTCTGGTGAGGGCTCTTTTCCTGATTTGCAGATGGCTACCTTCTTGCTGTGTCCTCACATGGCCTTCCCTTGGTGCATGTGCATGATCTCTCTTCTTCTTATAAGGCCACCAATCCTATTGGAATAGGACCCTACCCTGATAACCTAATTGAACCTTAATTACCTCCTAAAATCTCTGTCTCCAAATATAGTCCACATTGGGAGTTAGGGCTTCAATATACGAAATTAGGGAAGGTGGGGGAAGCAATTCAGTCCAAAGCAGTAGTGGTAGTAAGCTCTGACAAAGAATGATGACTGTGACACCCAACACACACTTTCTCTCCCCCACGACTTCTGCCAGGGCCTGGAATGAGTCCTTGAGACTGTTGCATAGTTGAAAAAAGATGCTGAAGGCTCCTGGTGGACAAGGGGAATATGTCTTAAACAAGAGAGCTGGGCTTCCTTCTGGTAGCAGGGTAAACCTGGCAACTCTAAGATGTTCCATAAAAGGCTCCAGCTGTAAGATTTCCGTGAGAGCTGTAAGTCATTTGGTGTTCTCCTCGGTGCAGGGGTCTTGGGATAGGATTCTTCCCACATGACTAGAACCTTGCTGACTTGGCCTTATCCCACACTGCACATGTCTAATCCAGTTCTGCCACTGTGACTACGACCCTTTGGCCTTATCAATGCCAGCTTACCTCACCATGTTTCTATCTAATACAGCAAGGACCTGGGCAGACTCAGCCATCTCACCACATCAAACTCTGCTCACGCTGCCTAGGTCTGGTCCCTTCTACCCCCGATCTAGGTCTGTGTTCTGTAGTATCCTGTATTATCTATCTAGCCCTGCTTGAGGGCTGTGGGCTCACTAGGTTCAGAGTACACGCTCCACATTGACGGAGTGGAAGGAGGAACTGTTTTGGAGCTTGAGGATTTGGGGAAGATGGTTAAGACATATTTGTATGCTACGTGGCAACTAGAGAGTGAAAAAAACAGGCATCATGGGGATGGTATAATATGGCCATATAGCAGGGAAACTGGTTAAAAACACAGGCTTTAGAGCTCAATAAACCTAGGTCTTCACCTCGGCTCTGCCTTTTGGTGACTACGCAACATTGAATACTCTATTCAACTCCTCTAAGCCTCAGCTTCTTCATCTTTAAACTGGAAATAACACCTCCAAATTCATGTTTTTGCCAGGATTGAAAAGGTACCATAATCAAAATGCTGATTATACTACCAAATCTATAATAAGCATTCAATAAATAGTAGTTATTACTATTGAGAAGAAATATGAACTGGGAAGAAAAGAGCACTAAGTTGGCCGGATGCGGTGGCTCACGCCTGTAATCCCAGCACTTTGGGAGGCCGAGGCAGGTGGATCACAAGGTCAGGAGTTCGAGACCAGCCTGGCCAATATGGTAAAACCCCATTTCTACTTAAAAAATATACAAAAATTAGCTGGGTGTGGTGGCGTATGCCTGTAGTCCCAGCTACTCAGGAGGCTGAGGCAGGAGATCACTTGAACCCGGGAGGCAGAGGTTGCAGTGAGCAGAGATCGCACCACTGTACTCCAGCCTAGGCGAGAGAGTGAGACTCCATCTCAAAAAAAAGAAACAAAGGAAAAAAAAAGAGCACTAAGTTTGGGGAAGGCTGTAAGCAGGAAAGTGAGGGGAAGTCCTAAAAATCCTCATTCCCTTTTCCATTCTATTGGGAGCCCTAGGACACTGAACGTGTCACTAAAAATCTTCCTGATTAAATTAACACTTGTGAGAGTTAACACATTAAGAATATTTAAGTTAATGAATGTTCCTTAGTTTTCCATTACTTTCAAAGTACTCTAAATCAGCATTTCTTATATCACCAGTGGTTGCCTCTGAATCATTTTTAATGTGTTTTTCTTTGTGGGGTCAAAAGAGATGGCAAGTTGAACACCTTTCGGCATCACGTAGCCACTGGGATCCTGAAAGCACTAACCTTACCCCATTGATCACTTTAGGAAGAAATAAATTGAATGAAAAAATTCCATTTGATTTGAGGCAACAGTCATAAACATAAGGTCAGTACAATATAAACTCCGCATTTTCCACCTTGTTTCGTTTCATTATATATATAGCTTAGGTTATGTGATAGTGAAACTACCAATAACCCAATTTGATTGGTGTACATGCTTAGAGATGACAGTGGATGTCTCCCAAAAAAACACTTAGAAGTGAAAGTTGAGTATTCAATACTCAGTGGATCTAAGCATCAATTTTATATATATATATACATATTTATATATATATATACATATTTATTTATATATAACTCTAAGGCTAGAAAGACCTATTTATATATATTACTCTATCCAAAAGAATGGTGATTCACTGGTCAGCCATGGAACAGAATCATAGAGACAAATGCTGATATAAGTGGAAGGAATTTTAACCTATGGATTTCATTCACTCAGCAATTTGTTATTAGACAACCTACAGAATAGGAGAAATTTTTTGCAATCTATCCATCTGAGAAAGGTCTAATATCTAGAATCTACAAGAAACTTGAACAAATTTACAAGAGAAAAACAAACAACCACATTAAAAAGTGAGCAAAGGACGTGAACAGATATTTCCCAAAAGTAGCCATTTATGTGGACAAACATATTTTTTTAAAAAGCTCAAAATCAGTGATCATTAGAGAAATGCAAATCAAAACCACAATGAGATACCATTGCATGCCAGTCAGAATGGTGATTATTAGAAAGTTAAGAAACAACAGATGCTGGTGAGGCTGTGGAGAAACAGGAATGGTTTTACACTGTTTGTAGGAATATAAATTAGTTCAACCATTGTGGAAGACAGTGGCGATTCTTCAAAGACCTAGAATCAGAAATACCATTTGACCCAGCAATCCCATTACTAGGTATATACCCAAAAGAATATAAATCATTCTATTATAAAGATACATGCACATGTATGTTCACTGCAGCACTATTCACAATAGCAAAGACATCGAATCAACCCAAATGCCCATCAATCATAGACTGCATAAAGAAAATGTGGTACATATATACCATGGAATACTATGCAGCCATAAAAAGAAATGAGATTATGTCCTTTGCAGGGACATGGATGGAGCTGGAAGCCATTATCCTCAGCACACTGATGCAGGAACAGAAAACCAAACACTGCATGTTCTCACTTATAAGTGGGAGCTGAACAACAAGAACACATGGACACAGGGAGGGGAACAACACACACCAGGGCCTCTCAGGAGTGAAGGGGAGGGAGAGCATCAGGATAAACAGTTGATGAATGTGGGCTTATTACCTAGGCAATGGGTTGATAGGTACAGCAAACCACCATGGCACACGTTTACCCATGTAACAAACTTGAACATCCTGCACATGTATCCCAGAACTTAAATTAAATTTTAAAAAAACAAAAACAAAAAGTAATTTGTTATTGAGTACCTATTAGACATTGTTTTCTCTCTGAAGACAACACAGTAAACAAGGAAGATGAGGACTCTTCCCACAAAGCTTATATTTAAAGCAGGAAGGACAAACAATAAAAAAAAGAAAATAATGAGAATTTCCAGTCATTAAACAAGCCATGAAGAAGACAAACCAGAGAATAATGGTATGATAGAGCATGGTGTGTTCAGGCAGGAAACATGATATGTTAAATTGGTTTGGAATAAGTTTGGCTGCATATACAAACTAACCTAAAATAACAGTGGATTAAGTAAGATAAAACTTATTTCTCTCTCATTTAAAAGAAGCATAGAGGTAGATAGCTCGGGGCTATTGTAGAGCCTCACAAATTCATCAGAGACTCAGGCTTTCCAAATCTCTACCATACCTAGTGAATACCCTTTCTCCCATGGTCTAAGATGGCTACTAGAGCTCAGCCACCACATTAGGTATTCCAGGGAACACAACAGATAGAGAAGAGGAGAAAGAAGAATACACTTCTTTCCTTTTACAGTTCCTTTCAAAGTACCACAGTACAATTTGGTTTACATTTCATTAGCCAGAACTTAGTCACAGGGCCACACTCAGCTGCAAGGGACGTTGGAAAATATAGTTGCTCAGCTGTGTGGCAATGTGCCTAACAAAGAAAGGAAGGCCTCTCTGAGGAGTCATATGACCTGAAGCCTCAACGATGAAAAGGTAGCCATGAAAGGATCTGGAGACGAAAGGTTTCAAAGAGGAGAACAAGTGCAAAATCCCTGAAGTGGGAAAGAACTCTGTATACCTTAGGAATCACAAGAAAGCCAGGGCACTGGTACAAATTGAATGAGAGAGTGTGCAGGAAAACAGTCTGTTGCATTCCAAGAGTGATGCCATATTGAAGTGAAACCACCATGATGACTAATGTTGCATACCAACATGTTCTGCAGCAAAGTCTTTGAACAATACTTGTAGCATAGATAATTCCCCCATAAAGATGCTTATCTAACCTCCCCAGTGGTCGCAAGTTTGGCAAGAAAGTCTGAGGTATGACCAGCTGCACATGTCTTTACACTAAAAGCATGCTATATGAAGGATACTTTCTAGAGGGCAGGTGTGAGGATCCACTATCTAGCAGCTACCCAAGAAATGGCACCTCTTTGTAAGTCCCTATTAAATGTTTCTTTCTGAGAAACTGGCTTTGTCAGCCTCTTTCTCTGGCCTCTCAGCTCCCTCGGCCTTCAGGGGTAGCTTTGCATAGACCTGCTCACTGTTCTCACTGCAGAACAGAGTGCTACAGCATGAAGTCAGAAGACTGGCATATTAGACTTAATAATAAGTCATGGTAATAAGTTTAGATTGGAGTATTTCCAGTCCCCTTGAAAGGGCCATGCCCATTATGATAGGAAGGGTAAGGCTGCCTTAGCCTGAGCCATCAAACATCCAATTTATCTAAGTCTTCTTGTTGTAAATGCATGCCCACACAGCAGTCTTCTGATTCCATAGCTCTATTAATAACGTGGCTCTGGTTCTTGAGTCTCACTCTCTCTCTCCCGACTTCCTTAGCAGCTTTTCCCAATTGTGACTTTGGAGTGCTTGGGCTTTAACAAGATCATGTAGGCATGCCATGAACAGAGATACAATTCAAGGTAGTTAAATCTTAAATTCCCTCAAAATAAACACATCAGTCAAGTAATATAAGATTTCATTCTTGGCTTCCAAGAAAAATATCCAGAAAAGGCTCTCTTAACCTTCGTTTGCAATAAAATAAACAGCTCAACAGTTTCCCTTCGGATTCGCCCAGATTTCATACAGGGGTTTGTGGGGAGTGTTCACATCTGCAGAGAGAAGAAAGGGAACAGCTGGAGAGGTTGTCTCTTCTTCCAGCATTTGCTCTCTGTAAACTCTGATAATCTGAGTCACTGATCTTCCAGAAAGTTCAGCTGTTTAAAGATGGATCTAAATTCCCAAGAGATTAGTAGGATTGTGAACAAAATAATGCCCTATAAGGCTAGTGTCTCAGAGGGTTTTCTTTGTCTATGTCACTCACTGCACACTCAAATGCACACACATATATTTACACATACACATATTTGTATACATATACAACAGCTAAAGCAGGCCAAGTAATTTGCATATGAAACAATTTTAATACATGTGCAGAACCTGGCAGGTTAAAGACCAAGTTAAAGTCAAGGATTAGTCAAACAGATAACAAGGTTAAAAAAAAATGCAAGGAAGAGGTCACACAGAGAACTGTGGAACAAAGGAGACTCTAATGCAACAGGAAAAGTTGAACTTTGATTAAATGAATAAATAATGATAATGATTATTATGCATGCTATCTATTATTGAGCATTTACTACATGCTAAACAATTAGCACATATTAAATGAAATAAGGCTTATCTCATTTAATAAAAATAACCTTAAGAGACAGGCAGTATTATTATAACTGCTTTATAGTTAAAGAAACTATAGATTCTTTAACTAAAGATTAAATTTCTTGCCAAGACCTGAGAAACAGTAAGTGACTGAGCTGAACTCTAGTCAGATCTGCCTAACTAAACCCTGTGCTCTAACAGCTTCTTATGCTTATATGATACTTATATGCCACATGGGGTAGGAAGGACAATGAAAAATGTAAACTTAAGCTACATTAATATTAAAAGTTTATAGTATTTCTACTGGATTAAATTCCTATTATACCTCACCTGAAGCATAATATCAAATTAGGAACCAAATTTAACAACACAGACTTTTAGAGTTAGAAAGTACTGGCTCCAACCACTGCTAGCTATGTGACCCTGGCTAGTTCCATAAGAGCCTCAATTTCTCCATCTGAAGTGGGAAAAATATCTATTTTAAAGAGTTGATGTTAAGAGCAGAGATAATGTATATGAAGTCAAAACCAATGTTTAGCATGTAGTAAGCATAGAAGGCACTACAAATATGAAAGGCAATATATTTACTATTATTCCAAGAAGAAGGTGACTAGGACATAGATCATGTTTTATAAACATTAGCATGAGATGTAAATTCATATTTTCTAATGGAGTGCTTTCATTATTACTTTGCATTCTGCTACAAATTACAATTCTTAACATTCCTAAAGCTGGGCTCTTCTGAGGCAAACAAAATAGATTCTATAAACCTAATAATTTCACATTCCCCACAGAACAGAAAAGGATTCTCTCCAGTTTCTTGTCAAAACTATCTCTGGAAAAAAAAAAAAAAAAAAAAAGGCCAGTGGATAGGAGGCCCAGTGGCTGCTGATGTCCTGCCAAATCCAAACACCCATATATCTTCAAAGGTCTAGCTCATAAATAAATAACACTTTCTGTCTTGACTGACAGCATTTATCTTGGATTTTAAAGCATCAAAGCACTGTTTGTGCCCAAAACGTTTTGTGAAATGATACTAATGTGTTCAATGATCTACATTTGAGAGGCTGTATTTCTGAAGCTGATAAACTCCAGCAAAATCTCCCTAGTGAAGTCTATTTCCAGTACATAAACTTCATCTGCATTTGAAAAGGCATCCATTATTCACATCTGCGGAGGCATTTATAGTTTAAAGCAGACACATGGTCAGATTGGGGGTGGAGGCCTTCATCTATGTAGAGACAACTAGAAAGAAGGCATTAGAAATGTGGGAAAGCTGACACTAAGCTCATTTTTACATCTAGACCCAAGATGAATTCTAGGGGCAGAAAAATAAAGCTATGAAATAAGAGCAAGTATCCCTCCTCCTCTTCTTTCTCCTTTTTCTATTGCTACCATAGAAGCCAATATGCTTCTGCAAAGTTTTTTCCCCCCACAGGAATATCCTTGCCTCAGATTCTGCCAGTCAAAAGCCTCAGACACCACTTCTTCCATAAACTTTGCCTCTTTCCTTCCTGCTGAGATTATATCCATCAAACCTAAAATCTGGACTGTTGATTCACCAAAATACTTCCAAGGAAGTGAGACTGGTACCACAAGTGGTTAAGGGATGCCATGAAATAACATTGAATCACATAGGAGAAAGTTATTCTATTTTCATTGCTTTTTCTGAATTTCTGATTTGTTAAGAAGCATGTCTCACTGCCATGCTAGTATGTCATTAGCACCTCTCCCACAGTTGTTAAGAGTTCTTGTTACAAAGACTCAGTTTCAAAGCCAAGGAACAGGCAATACTACCTAGATAGAATTTAATAACACCATTTTGTTTATACTGTCTTTATTTTTAGTTACGGTCTATTTATGGCAACTGAATTGTTTTTCCATTTATAGTAGTAAAATAAAGTTTACTTTCTAAATTCATTTATTTACATTATTCGAGTTAAAAAGATTAATCAAGAATAAAATTGTATGCAGATAAAAAATTATGAAAAGGGGCTGAGAATGAGTAAATGTGGGAGATACTAATTATTATACAACCTGAAAACGGAAGTTTAAACTGTATCCCCCTACTACCCCAAGGCAGAGCTAATCTATCCCTCCTCTATAATTCCACAGCCTTGTTTGTATATCTAATACAACATGAGTTCATCTTCTTTGAATTACAGTTAACTATGTACATTTCTTTTTTTTTTTTTTTTTTTGTTTTATTTTTTTTATTTTATTTTTTTTTTTATTATACTCTAAGTTTTAGGGTACATGTGCATATTGTGCAGGTTAGTTACATATGTATACATGTGCCATGCTGGTGCGCTGCACCCACTAATGAGTCCTCTAGCATTAGGTATATATCTCCCAATGCTATCCCTCCCCCCTCCCCCGACCCCACCACAGTCCCCAGAGTGTGATATTCCCCTTCCTGTGTCCATGTGATCTCATTGTTCAATTCCCACCTATGAGTGAGAATATGCGGTGTTTGGTTTTTTGTTCTTGCGATAGTTTACTGAGAATGATGGTTTCCAATTTCATCCATGTCCCTACAAAGGATATGAACTCATCATTTTTTATGGCTGCATAGTATTCCATGGTGTATATGTGCCACATTTTCTTAATCCAGTCTATCATTGTTGGACATTTGGGTTGGTTCCAAGTCTTTGCTATTGTGAATAGTGCCGCAATAAACATACGTGTGCATGTGTCTTTATAGCAGCATGATTTATAGTCATTTGGGTATATACCCAGTAATGGGATGGCTGGGTCAAATGGTATTTCTAGTTCTAGATCCCTGAGGAATCGCCACACTGACTTCCACAATGGTTGAACTAGTTGACAGTCCCACCAACAGTGTAAAAGTGTTCCTATTTCTCCACATCCTCTCCAGCACCTGTTGTTTCCTGACTTTTTAATGATTGCCATTCTAACTGGTGTGAGATGATATCTCACAGTGGTTTTGATTTGCATTTCTCTGATGGCCAGTGATGATGAGCATTTCTTCATGTGTTTTTTGGCTGCATAAATGTCTTCTTTTGAGAAGTGTCTGTTCATGTCCTTCGCCCACTTTTTGATGGAGTTGTTTGTTTTTTTCTTGTAAATTTGTTTGAGTTCATTGTAGATTCTGGATATTAGCCCTTTGTCAGATGAGTAGGTTGCGAAAATTTTCTCCCATGTTGTAGGTTGCCTGTTCACTCTGATGGTAGTTTCTTTTGCTGTGCAGAAGCTCTTTAGTTTAATTAGATCCCATTTGTCAATTTTGGCTTTTGTTGCCATTGCTTTTGGTGTTTTGGACATGAAGTCATTGCCCACGCCTATGTCCTGAATGGTAATGCCTAGGTTTTCTTCTAGGGTTTTTATGGTTTTAGGTTTAACGTTTAAATCTTTAATCCATCTTGAATTGATTTTTGTATAAGGTGTAAGGAAGGGATCCAGTTTCAGCTTTCTACATATGGCTAGCCAGTTTTCCCAGCACCATTTATTAAATAGGGAATCCTTTCCCCATTGCTTGTTTTTCTCAGGTTTGTCAAAGATCAGATAGTTGTAGATATGCGGCATTATTTCTGAGGGCTCTGTTCTGTTCCATTGATCTATATCTCTGTTTTGGTACCAGTACCATGCTGTTTTGGTTACTGTAGCCTTGTAGTATAGTTTGAAGTCAGGTAGTGTGATGCCTCCAGCTTTGTTCTTTTGGCTTAGGATTGACTTGGCGATGCGGGCTCTTTTTTGGTTCCATATGAACTTTAAAGTAGTTTTTTCCAATTCTGTGAAGAAAGTCATTGGTAGCTTGATGGGGATGGCATTGAATCTGTAAATTACCTTGGGCAGTATGGCCATTTTCACGATATTGATTCTTCCTACCCATGAGCATGGAATGTTCTTCCAATTGTTTGTGTCCTCTTTTATTTCCTTGAGCAGTGGTTTGTAGTAATAAGAGCTATTTATGACAAACCCACAGCCAATATCATACTGAATGGGCAAAAACTGGAAGCATTCCCTTTGAAAACTGGCACAAGACAGGGATGCCCTCTCTCACCACTCCTATTCAACATAGTGTTGGAAGTTCTGGCCAGAGCAATCAGGCAGGAGAAGGAAATAAAGGGTATTCAATTAGGAAAAGAGGAAGTCAAATTGTCCCTGTTTGCAGACGACATGATTGTTTATCTAGAAAACCCCATCGTCTCAGCCCAAAATCTCCTTAAGCTGATAAGCAACTTCAGCAAAGTCTCAGGATACAAAATCAATGTACAAAAATCACAAGCATTCTTATACACCAACAACAGACAAACAGAGAGCCAAATCATGGGTGAACTCCCATTCACAATTGCTTCAAAGAGAATAAAATACCTAGGAATCCAACTTACAAGGGATGTGAAGGACCTCTTCAAGGAGAACAACTATGTACATTTCTTATATTCCCTAAATAGAAGTCAGAGTCTTTGGTTTATTCATTTTTAAGGATCTGTCTTGTGTTCTACAGAGCACATTCTCTGTGAATGTTTGTTGAATTGAAAACTTGATTCACCTCCATCCCACCTGTGGAATAGTGGTAATCACTTTAAGGACCTTCAGGATGCACATAGCATAAGATTTCTCTATAGCATGAGATTCTCATTACTCACTATTTAAATATCAGTCAATAAATAATCAATATGTACTTTCTGACCTTCTATCATGTTCAAGTCCTTTGGAGTATGCAGAAAAAAAAGACATATTATAACTCTTTGTTTTCTGATTTTAAAAGTTCAAATATAATTGCAGAAAATTTAGACAATACAAAAAGCAAAGGCCAAAAAGCGTAAAGTATAAAAATTAATAAACTCTAATTCCCACACCTGCAGATGACTGCTATTCATATTTTAGAGTGTTTTCTTTCAGTCTTTTTTGTTTGTGTCTCAGTGCCACACTAGTATGTCATTAGTACCTCTCCAATAGTTGCTAAGCTTTCTTTTACAAGGACTGAGTCTCAACATGCTTGTTTTCAAAATTGAGAATGCATTTGTGTATTAAATAGTGTTTCTGGCTTTCATTTTCTTACTCATCCCCACATACACTCTTGTGCCACCTTGTTTTATATTTGGTTTCTATATGCCAGCCACATGAATGAAAAGTAATGGAGAAACATCAAGAAATACGTAAGTATGGTTACAAATGTCCCCTTCCAAACTTTTTCCAAGTAGAGACATTGCATAACTTAACAGGAAACATAAAAACAGTTTTGAAAAGGTGCATCAGAATGTTTCTCTAAGTGAAGAACATCAATGGTGGGCATTTCCAATTGAGGATTAGTCATGGAATCATGACTAATGGAATCATGACATGGCTGTGTGGGCTGGAAAAGGTTTAGAGATGCCTTTGTAAGACTAGGAAACAAAGATCAAGATAAAGTTAATGACTTAGCAAAGAACACTGATTACAGAACACAGAATAGCAGAGTCTATTATCTAAACCTAATGCCCGATGGAGATAAAATATTTCACATTATAATGCAAGTCAATGGGAAAAATAGTTGCGTGTTTACACAACTTCAGAAGAGCACGTCTATTACTATATGAGGAACACCTGCATAGTTCATAGTTCAATAAATAAACAAAAAAGTTTTCCTCACTCCAGAGCCTGTCCAGTGAACTGTCACTACTGCCCTCTTGAATTTTTATCTTTCAACTGCCCACCCTTTCCTAAATTTGTGTCTTTTATTTTATTTTCAATTATTTTCTCCTTCCCTTTTCATGAATGTATAACATAATTCCTATTTCAAGGTTTCTGTACAGAAATCTAAGCTCTTTGAAAGAAAATAACTGTCACATATTATAAATAAAGAAGTTTATTAAAAGTGGAATTAAATTGAACTACTTGGTATTCATTGACATTAATTTACCTAGCTAATAACAACAGTAATTGTCATTGTTTTAATAATCTTTTAGAATCCATATTATCTGCCAGTATCAAGCATCTGCTAGGAGCACATTGCTTATTACATTTGATTTCTTAATGCACCTTCCTTCCTTTCCATAGAATTCCTCTAGTTTGGTTTTCCCACCCACTAATCACTCTACTCTCTATATTTCAAGTACCTCCTCCCACTCCTTCACTCTAGATGTTAGTATTCATCAAGGATCTATTTGCAATCTTCTGCTCTTGTATCTATCAAAAGTTCCTAATCCTTCATATGCATTCAAGATATTTGATACCTCTTTTATAGTCAACTATTAAATAAATCTGTCAAGACCTGACTTATCTCTCAAGTTCTAGTCATATCTTCTTAACATGCTACAGAACATCTTTAATTATACGTCTTGTTATCATCATACAAATAACTCAATTTCATTATATTTTCCCCCAAATCAATGCCAATCCCTGATTTATCTTTCTCTCTTAATGGAGGTAAACCATTCCTTTGGTTTCCCTCTCTTATCCATAACATTTAATCCTCAACAAGCACTTCTGGTTCTTCCTTAGACTTCTTAATATTCATAACTTGATTCTCATGTTTCCAATTTCCAGATAGAGCCACTTATTATTATCTCATGCAGAGACTACTGCAATACCTTCCTTATTAGTTTCTCTGTCAACAGACCACCCACTTCTAACCTATCCTGTACATACCTACCAGAATAATCTTCCTGAAATATTACTTTCATCATGCAATTCTCTGATCAAAATAATCTTTAATAGGTACTGTTGTCTAGAAAATAAAGTTCCAATTTCACATCAAATTATCCATGATTTCCAACTTAACATTCTTATTTGGGGATTATTTGTAAGAAATAGCTCAGGAAAGTATAAAGGATACTAGACTCTGAGTAAGGAGATAAGGAGTTTAAATACTAGTGCTAGTTGGTAATTGTGTGATCTTATGAATGTCAAATTCTTTAGAATATAAGGATAAATAAGGATGTTTTCAAATAGTTGGGGTAAATACAAATTAAGTAAAAAAAAAAACAACTGACATGCATGACACATGGTAGGCATTCAATCAGTCTGAATCTGAATATGAGGTCTCTTCTACCTCTAAAGTTCAATGATTCTCTTCTCTAATCAGTCTTTCCAATTCCAGTCCAACTCCCGTATTCACTTTTCCCAAACAGAAATTCTTCCATTCTCTTGTGCCTCTCCTCTACACCTACACAAATATTATCATCCTTCAAGTTCTCTTCAAAACCTACCTACTCTATGAAGTCTTCAACATAAACCTCATCTAAAAGTGGTCATTGCCTCTAGCACTCATGTCTCTTAACTTATTAGTTGTCTTGCATCATCAACTTTTCATGTATTCAGAATATATCATTCTAGTAACATTACATGCTCCTTGAAGACTACTAATCTGCATGGCTCCTCTTTGTATGCCCTGTTCATTCATTCAGTCATTTACAGAAAGTCCTTTTTTTTTTCTTTTTTTTGAGATGGAGCCTCACTCTATCACCCAGGCTGGAGTGCAGTGGCGCGAATCTGGGCTCACTGCAACCTCCACCTCCTGGGCTTAAGCGATTCTCCTGCCTCAGCCTCCTGAGTAGCTGGGGTTACAGGTGCCTGCCACCACTCCAAGATAATTTTTGTGTTTTTAATAGAGACAGGGTTTCACCAAGTTGGCCAGACTGGTCTTGAACCCATGACCTCAAGTGATCTGCCCACTTCAGCCTCCCAAAGTGCTGGGCTTACAGGCGTGAGCCACTGTGCCTGGCCAGAAAGCCCTCTTTGATGAGGACTGAGTTACACTGAGTTTTAAAGGATGAGTAGAAAGTGGCCAGGCAAAGAGAGGGAGGGAAAGCTTCCAGGAGGAAGGAGTAGCTTGTGTGAAGGTTCTGAGGTCAGAAAAATAGTTTTGCAAAATAAAGGAGCTGAAAAAGAGATCAGGTAGAGAGACAGAAAGGCACTAGAGAGAAGCAGCATAAGGTGGCAGAGAAGGAGAAGCAGTTCCTTCCCCTAAGCATATACTATCAAAGTGCCATATTTTTTAAACAGGTACTAGTCATATATTGAATGAGAGCTGTTTATACTATAATGAAAAGACTTCAGAAGTAGCAGCATGGAAGCTGCCAGGGTGATAAAAACAGGAAACAGTTAAATGGTGGGACTGTATTTTGAATGTTGCTCTTCTACCAACTAATGGCCACACCTCTACTCCCTCTGTGACGCGCCCCCTCAACTCAGCTGACATTAAAATCCTTCTCCTGTTAGGTAGAAAAAATAAGTTCTAATGCCTGATAGCAGAGTAGGGTAACTATAGCTAATAACAATATATTGCATTTTTCAAAATAGCTACAAGAGAGAACTTGCAATGCACCCAACACGTAGAAATGATAAATGTTCAGGTGACGAATACCCTGAATACTCTGGCTTGATCATTACACATTTTATGCATATAACAAAACTTCACATGTACTCCATAAATATGTACAAATATATCAAAAAGATTTTTTAATCCTTCCAGGCTGGAGTTCAGATCATGTGGGGCTCTTCCGGGCTAAGGTAAAAAGTTAGGGCTTTATGTTATGAAGATTATCTAATTTGCATCCTAAGAAGATCACCCTCTGCCATGACTGGCACCAGTGAACCACGATTTAGAGGAGAAATAAATTAGGAGAAGGGGGTAGACTCCAAACGGTTTTTTTCCGAGCATTTAGCTGGCAGTTGCCATGAAGACTTAAGCTCAAAAAGCTGATATAGATAATGGAGCTGGGTATAAGCTCAGAGGCAATAGAATATCCTAGAAAGAGTTTAGCACATGCTACCATATTAGCCCCACCTCAGCCACGCCCCAAATGTGGTTCTCCATTGGAGTTTATGATACTGTAGAATGCTATAACACAGAGAAAACAAAGTCATATTTTCTTCTTCACACTTAATCCAGTGGAAGTCTTATTTCTACAGATTTACCTAACTCTTCAGCTATTTCAATGTGAACTGTCTCCAAGCCATTTGAGGTTGCAACTTCTCTGTGCTTTGTCTCAGCACAAATATAAACTCTTTCTGGGAAAGTCTGAGGAAAGCTCATGAGATATTTGTACGTTTTATTTGGTTTCTCGATTGGAAAAAACAATAGACATTTCCCTGTTTAAAAAGAAAAACAAATCTGTTGACTCTTACATACAAATAACTCAAACCAGCTGACCTTTAAAAATGTCAGAATTCACATGTGGTCAAGCCTCAGACAGACTCTAAGCTTAGTTTGGAAAAAAAAATAATTTAAATAATGAACTGGTAAAGCAAATAAAGTTAAATATTTGAATGATGATTCAGTTGTGTAACCACTAGTGACCCCAAACTGCCACTTGTTGCAGATAGATGTAAGATTTTAACTTGGGAGAGCCCAGAAACAACCCAATTATGGTGGGTAACCTTTCAAATTGACCAGAGGCTACAAGCAAAAGGAGAGGGAATATCTGACCAGTAAAGACTGAAATTCTGAGGCCCTGGGGAATACTAGAAAAAAGTCTGTTATACATATGACTCACTTACTCCTGGCTTGAACAATGAATTTTTCAGATTAAGGTCTAAAACCTTTAAAGGACTGAAAATCATAGACTTCCCCCTCCCTATACATCCCCACTATGTAATTCAAAATAAAAACAATACTAACCTATAAGAGAAAAAAACATGTAAGGAAGCTTGACAGATTTCTAAATTTCCTCACAATGGCCACTCTTATGCCTTTAAAAATTAATAATTTAAATTATTTTAAAAACATACGGTACTCTATTTTTGCAAACACCCTAAGCATATGCTTAGTTCACCTGTGGGCAATTAGCACTGTTTGGATCCCCATAGATACACTGTTCAGGTTTCTTATTATTAACATTTCCTGCATTCCAAGAATGGCCATAATTTAAAAACCAAAAAATAATTGATGTTGGTGTGGGTGTGGTGAAAAGGGAACATTTTTAACTGCTGGTGGGAGTGTAAACTAGTATAACCACTACAGAAAACAGTATGGAGCTTCCTTAAAGAACTAAAAGTAGAACTACCATTTGACCCAGCAATCCGACTACTGGGTATTTACGCAAAGAAAAATAAGTTGTTATATGAAAAAGACACATGCACATGCATATTTATAGCAGCACACAATTGCAAAAATACGGAGCCAACCTAAATGTCCATCAATCAATGAGTAGATAAAGAAAATGTGGTATATATACACCATGGAATGCTATTCAGTCATAAAACAGAATGAAATAATGGCATTTGCAGCAACTTAGATGGAGCTGGAGGTTGTTGTTCTAAGTGAAGTAACTTAGAAATAAAAAACCAAATATTTTATGTTTTCACTTATATGTGGGAGCTAAGCTATGAGGATGCAAAGCATAAGAATGATATAATAGACTCTGGGGAGTTGGGAGGAAGGGTGGGAGGGGGGTCAGGGATAAAAGACTATATTGAGTACAGTGTACACTGCTCAGGTGACGGGTTCACCAAAATCTCAGAAATCACCACTAACGAAGTTACCCATGTAACCCAAAACTGCCTGAATCCCAAAAACTATTGAAATAAAAAACATAAATAAATAAATATCACAAAATATGTCCTGCATTCCATAAAATTAATTATGGAAATTCTTAGGTAAGTATTTTTAACATAAATCAAAGTCACTTTACATTACTAGATAACAAAATGATTATCTGTAATTTTACAAAATGCGAGAGAGCATGACATCTCAATGAGACTCGTGTCTGGTCATCTCATTCCTCACACAATCACTTCTCAAGGCTGAGCATGGCATATATGAAATATAAGCACCAAAATTTCATCTTGGCTTATGGGAAACTACATAAAGTCAAGTTTATGTAAGTCAAGCCTTAGAACCCAAAAGGTTTCTATACTAATCTTTCCTTTTTCTACCTGCCCTTCAGCATCATAAAGGAAATAACCACAGTTCATTCCTAGATCAGATAGTTAATAGTTGCATTGGTCTGAGGCCCAGTGCCAACTATTTTTGCCCAGACTTCCCCTACGCAATAGGAAAGGGAAAATCCCACAACTCTCAAGGTAGCAAATGGACAAGTCTATACTTTAACTCTCTCTTCTTCATGTTTCTTTTTTTATCTTCCTAGGTAAGTGTTGAGTTCTTGCTGGAGGTTAATTAAGAAGAAACATGATGTAGTTTCTTCAAAGTACCCTTGACTGAAGACAGAACATGCTATGACATTAGTCCAGTCACTTCTCCTATTCCCTTTCATTTGTAACCAATGTCCTGAGGGTTTGTACTATAGTGACCTAAAAGGTCCTGTGTTAGGCCATTCTTGCATTGCTATGAAGAAATACCAGAGACTGGGCAATTTATAAAGAAAAGAGGTTTAATTGGCTCATAGTTCTGTAGGCTGTAGAGGAAGCATGGCACCAGCATCTTCTTGGCTTCCAGAGAGACCCCAGGAAGTTTCCAATCATGGGAGAAGGTGAAGGGAGAGAAGGTGTTTCACGTGGCAAAAGCAGGAGCAAGAGGTGGGGAACAGCTGTCACCCACTTTTTTTTTTTTCTGAGATGCACTTTTGCTCCTGTTGCCCAGCTGGAGTGCAATGGCGTGATCTCAGCTCACTGCAACCTCTGCCTCCCAGGTTCAAGCGATTCTCCTGCCTCATCCTCCCAAGTAGCTGAGATTACAGGTGCCCGCCACCACACCAGGCTAATTTTTGTATTTTTAGTAGAGATGGGGTTTCACCACGTTGGCCAGGTTGGTCTTGGAACTCCTGGCTTCAGGTGATCTGCCTGCCTCGGCCTCCCAAAGTGCTGGGCTTACAGGCCTGAGCCACCACGCCCGGCCTGTCACCCACTTTTAAAAACATAGATCACATGTAAACTCAGAGCAAGAGGTCACTTTTCACCAAGGGATAGCACCAAGCCATTTATGAGGGATCTGTCCCCATGATCCAAACACCTCCCACCATGCCCCACTTCCAACACCAGAGACCACATTTTAACATGAGATTTGGAGCGGACACATATTCAAACCGTATCAGGTCCTTTGCAACACTGACACTTTATAATTATGGAAACGTCTTTGCCCCAATGAGGGAAAGGACAGGTAAGCTTAGATTAGTAGAAGATTAATGATTCAATAACACTGCTCAAAGTGGGCTAATATTTAAAAAGCACATTGACTTAAGCAATATACCCTTTTATCATTGCATTCCTTGAATTCAGGAAAGTGCTAACACAAAAAAGTGGCCTAAAATAAACTTTTCTGATTGTATCAAGTATCTGAAACCACCCTGTGACTTCATGAGAGAAAGAGCTTTATTTCAAGATCAGAATGTATAAAAGCAAAAGGTCATCAAACAACATGCCACATTTGTAAAATGAAAGAAGTTTCCCATGGCATAAAGCTCAAGGTACTTGAGGGAAAGGATGAGGCAAAAAAATAGGTAATCAGAAGCCAAATCATGTGCCTGTTAAATTTTAAAAAGTTATTTCCCCCTAAAAACCTTAAATAAAACCAATAAAATATTTAATCATGTAAGCAATTAAATCTGCATTTCAGAAAGAAGCCTCTGGTATCATCTTCACAGTTTGTGATATGGTGTACATTACAGAGGCTATATTTATTTCCCTGATTCAAAGCAGTTTAAAATTTGATAACAACTGTAAGGAATACAGAATTACTGAAAATAATTAGTTCTATTCATCCATCCATTCATTTATTCATTAAATTAACAAACGTTTAATACTGACTACTACATGTGAGGCACCAGAGTTACAGGGACTAACAAGAATAACAACATAATCCATTCTTCCAAACAACTTAGAATTTGTAGAGGAATTGTGGATTTTTTAAAAAATTCTGTTGTTGTTATGACATTGTTAACATCATTTTTACTTGTGATCTCAAATGCAGAGGATATAATTAATTCTACTCAGTTAATGACACTTCATCATCATTGATCCTTGCAAAGCCTCTCTCTTTCATTTTTTAATTCTCTTTGTACCCATAACACATTCATATCCCCATTCATAAGCCAGACAACCACTTAAATGTGTTTAATATATTTTTCCTTACATATGCTTTTATAAATGTGTATTATTATCTGAGCATGTATTTTTAATTCATGTAAATGTTATTGTACTATATATTGCTGCCCGTTTATTTCACAATGTTATTCACTCATGTTGTTAGATATAACATCAAACTGTTTGCTTTTAAGTGTTGCATAACATTCCTTGTTGTGCAATCATTACATTTTATCTATGCATTCTCCTTGAAATGAACATCCAGATTGTCACAACTCCCCACCACAAATAAAGCTACAACAAATACCCTCATATCTGGCCCTTTATAGACCCACATGAGAATTCCCGTGGGGGCATAAACACATAAGTGAAATTTCAAATTCAAAGAGTGAGCATACCCTTCATTTGTTTTCCAGAATAGCTATACCAGTGTACAATCCCACCAGCAGAATATGAAGGTTCCTATACCCCCTACTCTTACTCCCCAGGCCCCTACATTTTATGTTTTTATGTCACAATTTACATCTTTTTATATTGTTTATCCCTTAACAAATCATTGTATCTATAGTTATTATTAATAGTTTTTAAATTATATCCCCTCGAGCCTTTCAACGTATGGCATTATCAAACTTTTTACTTTTGCCAGTTTAATAGGTAGAAAGTAATATCTCATTGTTTTTATAATTAGCATCTTTAAAATTATTAATCATTTTGAACATGTGTTTGTTAGCTTTTAGGGTTTTTTCCTAAGTAAAATTTTCTGTTCCTATTCTTCATCTATTTTTCTTTTCTTGTTGCTGTATTCTTGTTGATTCTAGGCATTCTATACATTCAAGATACTAATCTCTTGTTGATTACAGACATAGCAAAAATATTCTTTCCTTATGTTATGTGCCTTTTAATATTGCCCCTGGAAGCTTTGTTGAAAAAAAATCCTGAATTTTAATGTATTAATGTTTCCTTTATTGGCTGTGCTTTATTGGTTGAAATTTTGTTGAGAAGACATTTCTCGAGCCCTTAGTTCACAGAGATATTCACTTACTTTTTCTTCTATTAACTTTATAGACTTATTTTTCACATATAGGTCCACTGATTTCTAGTGCCACTTTATCATATATAAGTGATACACACATGGCTCTTTCTTTGAGATCTCCATTCTGCTCCCTCAGGCTGTTTATCTGAAATTGTATCATTGAGTTATTTATAAGTTAATAAAAACAACTTTGCTACTGTCTTTCCTTATTCCTGTCTTCTCTTACTTAGCTCAAACCACTCCCTCAATACTCTGCACTAAAAGCTTGATTACAAATGGAAGAAAGACAACCATCCTAGTTCCATTTTCTGTAGTCCTGCCCTTAATCAGCAACGCATAAAGCATTTTACATTCCCAGAAATGTAGTCTCACGTTAATGTAGTTCTTCTTAATGTATTTATAAGACATGTATGGGGTGGGGAGCTCCAGGTGGGTAAGTTCCTTGTTTAGAAGCCAAAAACACTTTGGATACAGATGACCAGGTTTTTAAAGATGATAAATTTTATATATTGATTCCTGAGTCATGTATTAGTAACACTATTATGTTGAACTGCTTGTATATTCTTCTAGATTGCACTAAGCAACAAAATCACTGTTCTTACAAGAACTGCAGTGATTTCTACTATACAATATAATTTTGAAATAATTCATACAGATCAGGTGGAAATGATAATAAACTACATTATTGAATTATAAATTTAAGGCTTATTAAGCCTTCCATCAATCAGAGCCTGCAGTAACCCTTTCCAAGAAAGCCATCAACAAAGTAGTAACACAAAATTGACAGTGTTTGCAATTTTCTATGTTTAAGCTATATACCCATGATTATAACTGTCAAAATTATCTGAATGAATAAGCAATCTTCTGTCTAGATAAACTACAAGTCACAACTTTGACCCAAAGAAGGAAGCATCTTTCATAAGAAAGCTGTTACCCAAGTAAAAGCACCAAGGTGAGCCATTAATTGCAGGCTATCCCTACATTGTATTACCATCTGAGAATCCTCAAAGAATTTCCTGCCTGCAAACACCTTTGTCTCCAAAGGTAAATTCTCAGGTATACTGAAGATGCTGCCTCCAAAGTAAAATACCCAGGCCTACAAAACTTTAAAAAGCATCTGGCACATAAATAGTAATTCTGAAATATATTGTCTTGATGATCACATCTTAGTTATAACAAAAGGTAAATCTTAAGTTTACCCTACCAAATGTGATCAACTTCTAAGAACAAGAATATAGCATTTTTGCCAAGGAAAAAAATAAGGGACCTGAGTTTTTCACTGGAATTTTCAAGAAGTACATTTGGGAGATGTTTTCCAACTTTCCTTTCTACTAATTTGTATTTTCCATATTGCCTATAATGAGTAAAAAGGAAAAAAAGGGGGGGGGAGATATAATTTATTTTAAAATACTATATTCATCCTCATCATCCTCCATACCCCTATTACCAATACACCAACCACTTACACAGTGACAAAAGAGGGGTTTAAAATATGGGGAAGAGTAAATGATCAAATAGAATGATTTGTAGGCTGGGCATGGTGGCTCACGCCTGTAATCCCAGCACTTTGGGAGGCTGAGGTGGGTGGATCACTTGAGACAACAAGTTTGAGACCAGCCTGGCCAACATGGAAAAACCCCATCTCTACTAAAAATACAAAAAATTAGCCAGGTGTGGTGGTGTGCACCCGTAATCACAGCTACTCAGCCTGAGGCAGGAGAATTGCTCGAACCCAGGAGGCAGAGGTTGCAATGAGCTGAGATCGTACCATTGCACTCCAGCCTGGGCGACACAGAGTGACTCTGGAAAAAAAAAAGAAAGAAAAGAAAGAAAGATTTGTAATGCCAAAGTTTTTTTGTTTGTTTGTTTGTTTTGAGATGGAGTCTCGCTCTGTTGCCCAGGCTGGAGTGCAGTGGTTGGGACTACAGGCAGGTGTTACCTTAATGCCCGGCTAATTTTTGTATTTTTAGTAGAGATGGGGTTTCACCATATTGGCCAGGCTGGTCTTGAACTCCTGACCTCGTGATCCACCCGCCTTGGCCTGCCAAAGTGCTGGGATTACAGGTGTGAGCCACTGCACCCGGCCTAGTTTTGCTTTTAATTATCCTTAAGGTAGGATTTTAAAAGTCTACAGCAACTTTATAGACAAAAGGATTACCTGGCGTTCCTACAAAAAGATCGTGGAAAATTCTACTTGTATGTTAGGCATTGTAATTCAACTTGAGGCACCAATATATTCATCATAAAGTATCCATTATATTGATGGAAGACACAATATAATCATTATAAAAATTGTATCACCTTATTCCCTTTTGTTGTTAATAAATACCTCTCCATAAGCAACACTAACTAAAGATTGTATGTAGCGGTACTAATATTATTTTGGAAGCAAGGAACAGATGTTGAATAAAAATAACATCAAGCCTTCATTAGTAAGAAAATTTAATGCTATTACTTTTATTATTTTGATCTTCAACATAGTAGTTTTGTTATTCTAGTATTCAATATAGCAGATGAAATGTGGGATTTATCATCTTTGAATGAATAACAACTGTATGAAGCCTGAACTATGAAAATAAAGTAAGGGTGTTCTTCTAATTTACTTTTGATTTTATTTTCTTCCGCCTTATTTCCTAAGTGGATTCCTGTTTCACTTTTGTTTGGGTGACTGGTTTTCATGAAATCTTATTAGATTTAATGAAGAAACTGCAACAGTTCCTGAGATTATAATGTTGAAATATCTGGCTGAATCAGTGTGCACTCTGTTGGATGTCTACAAAGTAGAAAAACTACTGTGAGAGTAAACTAACTGATCAAAGAATAGAAACAACAGCCACCTCTTTTCATAAGACATTTACTCTTTCTTCTTGGCTATTTCTATTTACATCAAACTCTAGTTGTATGTTAGGCATGGAAATTCAACTTGAGGCACCAATATATTCATCTTAAAGTATCCATTATATGGATGGAAGACACAATAGTCATGTGTTCTGGTATTGTTTGGGTGACTGCTTTTCATGAAATCTTATTAGATTTAATGAAGGAACTGCAACAGTTGCTGAGATTAGAATGTTGAAATATCTGGCTCAATCAGTGTTCACTCTGTTGGATGCCTACAAGGAGAATAAATATTTATTGAAAAATATAAGCATATGTAATTTATTCAGGAAATTCTCTTTCATATCAGAGGTGTTTGAAACCCAGCTCATGTGTTTCAAGAGTTGTAAGAGAAGAAGCAAGTAGATGTAAGTGTAGATTATTCACCAGAGAATAATGCAAACAGTTGAGGTTGGAGCTAGGTTAGGCTTTGGGCACTCAGTTTGCCTGAACAAATTGTTGGACATCGGGGGTTCTTCAGAAATCAAAAGAGTTCAGATTCAGAAAACTTAATATCTTGATATCTGGAAAGAATCTTATAATTAATTCATTTTAGAGAAAAAGGCTAATCAATGCAGGTTTTAGAAATAGAATAGAACTAAGGAAAAGAGTATTTTCCCCGCTCATAACAAGGTAGAATAAAGTTACCAAGGTTTGTCCATTTTTCCTTAAAAACTCTTCACTTAGCCAACCTTTTTATATCATATCACAGCTCCAGTTCAGGCCTCCTTTATCTTGCAGAAGATTTAATACAACGATCTCTGAGATAGACTTTTGGTATATCATTCTACAACCAGAACTCAGCTATGTTCATCCTGTCTCCTCTACAGGATATTAGAGACCTCAAGGAAAGAGACTATACATATATATATTTACTATAATATATTTCTCCTATATCTCCAACAAAGGCAAGTATAGCAATAGCTAATAATAGTTAATGCATATTAAGTGCTTACTATGTGCCAGGTATTGTTCTAAATGTTTTACATGTATTAGCTCATTTAATCCTCACAACAAGTACAATTATAATTCCAATTTTACAGGCAAGACTTATTTAAGGCCATGTGGCTAGTAAATGATGGGGATAGGATGAGGGATTTATAGCCAAGTAATCTAATTCCAGAGCCTGCATTCCACTATCCTTCCAGGGGTGGGGATGGGAGCTGCATATTAAATTTCTCAATTTAGCATGGGTGGTTGGGAAGATATTCAGAATTTAATATACTCTAACGATACAATTCTTAACCTGAGCTGTGTTTTGTACATACTACCATCTCTCTGCTTATAATTGGCAACATAATCATTCCTCACACCTGAAGTAAGGAACAGTTTGTTCCCTCATAAAAACGGACTGACAATTGTTGCTATCCGTGGTAAGCGAAAAAAAAAAAAAGTCATTCAAAATATCCATATCAAATCCTTGGAAACTGTGACTGTTACTTTATTTGGAAAAAATGGGCTTTGCAGATGTAATTAAGCATTTGAAATGAGATCATCCTGGACAATATGAGCAGGCCTTCAATCCAATAACAAGTATCCTTATAAAAGACACACAGAGGAAAAGAGATAGAAGAAGAGGAGGCAATGTGACAGGTGGAGATTGGAGTGATGCACCCACAAGCCAAGGAATGCCTAGAGTCACCAGATGCTGTAAGAGACAAGGAATAGAATTTACTCAAGAGCCTTCTAATGAAGCCTGGACCTGCTGACACCTTGATTTCAGACCTCTGGCCTCCAGAACTGTGAGAGAGTACATTTCCATTGTTTTATATCACCATGTTTGTGGTAATTTGCTATAGCAACCATAGGAAACCATCCATTTGCTATCTGTGATAGACTAGAAGGTCCTTGTACAGGAACTGTGTTTTATGTATCTTTGTAGCCCTTCCTTTATCAATTTAGTGTAGTGCCTATGATGTGCAGATAGAATGGCAATGACATTGGAAAATAAAAGTGGAAATGGAAAACAAAAAGGCTGATTTACAACATAAAAACTGTGTGACCTTATGCATTTAACCTGTTTATTCAATAATCACACACTGTGGATGTACACTGGGGAGGTACTAGGCAATAAGGTGGGCAACCAGGAACCACAAAGACAACAAATATGATCTTGGCCCATATGTCATTTCAAGTGACTTATTACATTTTCTTGTAATCAATAACAGTGGGAAAATGGGATTCATTGTAAATTCATAAGAGGAACAGCTGGCCCAGATTTAACAGTGGTAGAGTCTGGCAAGCAAGTCCACTTAACTTCTCTGGGACTTCATTATAAAACAAATAATAAATAACAGGGGTGATATAAACACTGTCTTCCATAGTGTCTTCCATTATATTCTTTCATGAGACTACAATAACTTTTGCCTCTCTGCCTTTCCACAAGAAGAGTCAAAAGTTATTGTATTCTCATTTAAAACAGGTTTTTTATAATAATAATATATACTTTTTATAAAATGCTTAGAAAGTGCTATGTATCTTATACAGATTATGAATTTAACTCTTACAACCTAAAAATTATTTATGTATATAAATTATATACTAATTTTTATGGTGTATATTTAAAATATAGATCTCATATATTTTATATACCCATGATTATATTTCATATATTTACAGTATGTATGAAATAATGTATTATTATTTCACCAGTTTTTCAAATGGAGAAAACAAACTCGGAGACAATAAATATAATGCCCAAATCCACATAGCTAGTACAAGGTAGAGCCAGGATTTGAAACACGCTTAATTCCACAGCCTGAGATTTTAATCACTACTATCAGATTTGTTATGCAAATGTTAAAAACTGAAAATACTGTTAAAGCCTTCAATAAGTATGTATTAAATAAACATGTACCTTTGAGTGGGCATAGGAGATAAATTTTTTTAAAAGGCTATGGTTTCGAAGGAATCATTTTCTATAAGCAGGCCTTTAAAAAAAATCCCTGTTATTTATTATTTGTTTTGTAATGAAGTCATAGAGAAGAGACTTGCTTCACAGACTCTGCTACCATTAACTCTAGGTTAGCTATTCCTATTATCAATTTAGAATGAATCTTGTTTTCCTTCTGTTATAATATTAATTACAAGTATTAGGTAGTACCAACAAAAATGAAAACAACAATAACAACAAAACCCTAGCAATCCAGTACTGTTTTGCCACAGTTGCATTTTAGCCAACTGGTAGCTTATTCTGTGATTTGAAAATAATTACTTACTTCAGCTTCTATATGGCTAATAGTAACCTGATAATAAATCTAAAAATTTTCTTTACGTAGGTATTCTGAGAAATATACAGTATTAAAGCATGTGACAACTTTATTCTTACTAATTACTACATTCTTGCTAACTCCTTCAAAGCATCATAAAAGTCCTGAAAATTGCAATGCATACAAAACTGTGGTTTGCAATAAATCTAATTACAGTTGATCCTTGTTTTTGATAATTCTGCATTTGCATATTTGTCTACTTGATAAAATTTATTTGTAACCCTAAAGTCAGTATCCTCGACACTTGGTCATTTGTGGACATACACAGAAAGGTAAAAAATTGGAGTCGCTGGACATGCATGTTCCCAACTGAGGTCAAACAAGGAGATGCTCTGCCTTCTTGTTTCAGCTCTTGAACTGCGAACACGTGTTCTTTTCTTGGCCTATTTAGTGCCACCGTTTTTACATTTTTGTGCTTTTTGTTGGTGATTCTGCTGTTTAAAATGGCTTCCAAGCACAGTGCTTAAGTGTTGCCAAGTGTTTCTAAGTGCAAGAAGGCTGTGATAGGCCTGATGGAGAAAATATGTGTGTTAGGTAAACCTCCTTCAGGCACCAGCTAGAGGTAAACCTTCCTTCAGGCACGAGCTAGGGTACTGCTGGCCATGAATTCAATGTTAATGAATGAACAATACAACACATCCAGAAAAAGAAAGAAGAAATTTGGTAATTGATACCAGAGGCCACACCAGACAGTGCTAAAATAACATCTACAGTGCATAATGAAGCTATGGAAAAGATGAAAAAGTGGCTAAATTTGTGGGTTCATGAGATGATGACCTATTTTTTAAAAAATAAGCATAGTGCACAGCATTGTTGTGAGGCTGAAAACCAAAGAAATTTATAGTCACATTACTCAAGGTTTGGAAAAAATTACATCCTTTTCAGCTAGTGCTTTATTATAAAGGAATACTGTATTCAGTTAATTATTTGTACAAAAGACATATTAAAGAGGTGTTTTTAAACAGAAACATTTACTAAACAAGGTTATGTATTGATTGGTTGATTAAAAATGTGACCAGAAACTTAACCGTGTATTTCTCCTAGTAGCAATGGCTCTGTATTTGCTAATTCAGTGTTTGCTGCAACTTTATAGTACAGAACTACTACAGAACAACAAATAGAAAGGAAATAAATCATTTCTTATTGATATGCTGTTTCAAACATCTTCCCTATTTTCCAAAGGATATTTAAGCAACAAAAGCAGAAGCGTTAGAGAAGGAATTTTCAAGAAGAATGAGGAAAAGCCATATTGGATTGGCCTCAGAAAGGATAAAAAGGGTTATTCTAAATTCAAAGCCACATTAGGAACTCACAAGCAGCTAGAGTGGATATCCATTTTTGTATGGCTTAGTTGAAATGAAACTAACACATTCTATGTCAGATGAACGCTGCAGGCCAGTAATTATTATTAAATGTATCTTCATGTTTGTAATTCCCCATAAGGAATCAACCTAGTGTTCTACAACGCAGGACATATAAAGTCAGAGAGATCTTGGCTAAAACCCGAACTTTGCTACCATCCAACCTAAGTGCCCTTGGACAACTCTTAACATTTTTTAGCCTGATCTCTAAAAAGAGGAAATAATATCAATCTCACAATTTTGCTTTAAGAATTAAATAATTATGTTAATCTTTTAGTACATCATAAAGATTTAATAATGTTAATAAAGTTTATTATTTTGTTATTACTGTTGTTAAAAATCATGGAATATTGGTGTTAAAGGAAAATTTCAGACAAATTAAATTTAACAGAGTGTAATTGAGCAAGGAAAAAAAATCAATTCATGAATCAGGCAGCCTGAAGAATCACAGCAGATTAAGAGAAACTCCAGGGATGTCTCATGGTCAGAGCAAATTTATAGACAAAAAAAGGGAAGTGACATACAGAAAACAGAAGTGTAGTACAGGAACATCTGGATTGGTTACAGCTTGGCTTTTGCCTTATTTGAACAGTTCGAACAGTCAGCAGTGTATGAGTGATTGAAGTCTGGCCGCTGGGATTGACTGATACACAGCTGTTGTTACAGTAGCATACTCCTAAGTTAGGTTTACAGTCTTGTCTACCTACTAAGTTAGGTTACGGTTTGTCCACGAAGACTCAAATATGGAAGTATGGACGCTTTCTCAGGCCATATTTAGTTCGATTTAACAATTGGCAATTTCATATGATCAAATCTAATATTATTGCATAGCTCAACTTTTAACGTTAAATAAACAGTAAAGACAACATTTATGTGTCGGAGCTATGTATTTTGGTTGCCAAATCAAAATATTTTTCCTCTATGGCTCAATATTTGCCATGGTTTGGTTACTAGTCAGGAGTATGATAAGATATTATAATAAGAATCTTTCTAAATTCTCACAATTTTAGTAGCTATCTCTCATGGAATCTCTAGCCAAAGATGGTAATATGTTTATGTTACATGGCAACGTTCCAACATATTAAGTAGATGAAATATCAAGAGAAAAATTCGAGCATACCAGCTACCAGAAAACTGAAATAAATCTCATGTAGAATCAACTCTACACTTATATAACCAGGTTTTGAATAAAATATTACTGGTGAAACAGTCAAATTCTTACCTGCCTGAGCTACTCTGTTTTCTTTTTAAAACAATTTAATTCCTTTATGCTCTCCATCTGCCTTATACCTATGCATTTCTTAATTACTACCTCCAAAGTTCCTTTCCAATTTTTCCCTGTCTAGGTGTCAGAGTCAATGTGATATAAATAGGAAGAGTATGGCTTTGGAGTTTAACTCTGGCTCTACCAAGTGCACTCACTGTAAGAGCTTGGACAAGTCCCTTAACATCCTCATCTAAAAAGGGAGGCTCATATCCTCATAGGCTTAGTGTAAGAATCATTGAAATAACATTTATGAAAAGTTGGCATGATATATGTTTACAGACAGGTTCAAGAATGTTAATTCCTCCTGCTTCTCCTTGTTCTGTCTCCACTGAAAAATCCAGTCTTTGCATAAAAGGACACTAGACTCCTGAAATTTAATAACTCTATTTCAGAAATTGATATCTCTTCTAGCTTCTTGTCCAATTGATCACCTATCTGGTAGCTATTTCTACCTCCTTGTCCTTCTCCCCTTCTAACCCCTCAATATATCTAAAACTGGTTTTCCCTCCTGAATGCCTTATTTCTACAGCTATTTGTATTTCTCCCTTACTACTCTCTAGAAAAGTCAATCCTACCTTTACACTTATATATTCTTTCCCATTTCCCTAATACCCCAATCCCTAATAACTGAGTTCCCTGTAACCCTAATAACTGAGTCTTGGAACAATGCAATACCCTCCTTACTGGCCTCTTTTTCTTAAACTATCCACTTGACTAGTCACTAACCCCATGCTAATCTTAAAGCACTGCTTCCAAATTATTACTATGAGAAAATAGTTCTCTATCCTTTTTTTTTTTCAAAAATTAGATTTTGTTTCTCCTCGTTCAACATACATTTTTAAATAATTTTTTTAGAGAAAAAAGCCTTGACCTCCATCAGAAATTCAGGTAAAGATATAAAAGATCACCTGTCAGAAAAACAAAAACTCCCACTGATCTGAACAGTGTCATCGAAAGCTCTCTTTCAACTGCTATGGAATTTACCCAAAGAGATGCTCTCTTGTGAGGAATCTGGAGCAGTGAGAAGAGAAATAAAGGTAAAACTGCCAGGTTCGAAGATATTTAAGTTAATTTCAAAACATACACACACAACACAATAAAACAGATGGAAGATCTAGGGGTAACAGAAAGCTTTATAAAGAAAGTTTTATAAACTCAATAGGTTTTCTAACACAAGGTTCTCATCGATTCAAATTCCTATCTCGCTCAGTTTTTAAAGTCACTGAACATTTGATATCTAAAAGTAAAACAAATAAATTTTTATCTCTTCTTGATATGAAGGAAGAATCAGGAAAAGGGAGCTTTTAAGCAGCTAAAAACAGATATGGCTTTCTAATGGCAAAGTTGCCAGTAAGTAACCAAGTGAAGTCCCAAATAAAGTTAATTTTGACAAAGAACATTCACTATGCATTCTAGATAAGATTATAATCCTAATAAGCAATCAACTGAGGATAGGAAACTAGTCACAAGGAAAATAAACTGTGCTTACTGTACTAATCTATTTCATTTTAATCCAAAGTTTATCTCATTTAGTTATTTACCTCTAATAAAACAAATAATGTCAAATTCTGATAGTTAATTATTGAGGTGAAAAAGTCAAGTCTCGAGTTTGAACTATGTGGCTGATCACTTGAATTACTTGTTCTCTAGAAAACATGAAAAACAACTGCCAAGACTAGTTCGGGAGACATTCTATTGGCTGAGCTTAAGGTAGGTCATACAAATTCTTTCAAATTAGTTTCTACTCAACAAATATTGTTCATATAATCAATATTTACTGGCTACTATTAAATGCCAGACAATGTGCTAAACCAGCAGTCCCCAACCTGTTTGGCACCAGGGACCAGTTTCATGGAAGACAATTTTTTCCAAGAACTGGAAGGCAGGGGATGGTTGCGGCATCATTCAAGCACATTACATTTATTGTGCACTTTATTTCTATTATTACTTCATTGTAATATACAATGAAATAATTATACAACTCACCATAATGTAGAATCAGTGGGAGCCCCGAGCTTGTTTTCCTCTAACTAGATGGTCCCATCTGGGGATGATGGGAGACAGTGAAACCAGAAGTGTGTTGCTTATGTTTAGTGTACTCCGTAATCTCGTTTTGGTTGCTGTCGCTGCAGAAAACCCTGTTTCACAAAGATACGATGTTGGAAATGGAAGCAGGCTTTTCAGTGATTTTTTGCCAATCTCGGGATATTCCACTTTGACTTTAATCCACAACGTATGGAGATTTGAAATTGTCTCAAACTTATTTTTAAGGCCACCATCATTTGCGATCTCAAGCAGTTGATCCTCTTCTAGCACAGACAAAGTCAATTTACCTGGCTTATTCACAAATGGGTCGTGGGTCCATTCCTTCCCAGGTTGGGGGTCTTTTGTGGCTGGGAAGTAAAGCTCAAACTTCGGCGTGAGCCAAAGCAGGGCAAGGCATCGCCTCACCCGGGAAGTGCAAGGGGTCAGGGAATTCCCTTTCCTAGCCAAGGAAAGGGGTGACAGACGGCACCTGGAAAATCGGGTCACTCCCACCCTAATACTGTGCTTTTCCAACAGTCTTAGCAAATGGCACACTGGGAGATTATATCCTGCGCCTGGCTCGGAGGGACCTACGCCCATGGAGCCTCATTCATTGCTAGCACAGCAGTCTGAGATCGAACTGCAAGGCAGCAGCCAGGCTCGGGGAGGGGCGACCCTCATTGCCCAGGCTTGAGTAGGTAAACAAAGCAGCCAGGAAGCTGGAACTGGGTGGAGCCCACGGCAGCTCAAGGAGGCCTGCCTGCCTCTGTAGACTCCACCTCTGGGGGCAGAGCATAGCAAAACAAAAGGCAGCAAAAACATCTGCAGACTTAAATGTCCTTATCTGACAGCTTTGAAGAGAGTAGTGGTTCTCTCAGCACGCAGCTTGAGATCTGAGAACGGGCAGACTGCCTCCTCAAGCAGGTCCCTGACCCCCAAGTAGCCTAAATCGGAGGCACCCCCCAGTAGGGGCAGACTGACACCTCACACGGCCAGGTACTCCTCTGAGACAAAACTTCCAGAGGAACGATCAGGCAGCAACATTTGCTGTTTGCCAATATCCGCTGTTCTGCAGCCTCTGCTGCTGATACCCAGGCAAACAGGATCTGGAGTGGACCTCCAGCAAACTCCAACAGAACTGCAGCTGAGGGTCCTGACTCTTAGAAGGAAAACTAACAAACAGAAAGGACATCCACACCAAAACCCCATCTGTACGTCACCATCATCAAAGACTAAAGGTAGATAAAACCACAAAGATGGGGAAAAAACAGAGCAGAAAAACTGAAAATTCTAAAAATCAGAGTGCCTCTCCTCCTACAAAGGAACGCAGGTCCTCACCAGCAATGGAACAAAGCTGGATGGAGAATGACTTTGACGAGTTGAGAGAAGAAGGCTTCAGACGATCAAACTACTCTGAGCTAAAGGAGGAAGTTCGAACCCATGGCAAAGAAGTTAGAACCTTGAAAAAAGATTAGAGGAATGGCTAACTAGAATAATCAATGCAGAGAAGTCCTTAAAGGACCTGATGGAGCTGAAAACCACGGCACGAGAACTACGTGACGAATGCACAAGCGTCAGTAGCCAATTCGATCAACTGGAAGAAAGGGTATCAGTGATGGAAGATCAAATGAATGAAATGAAGCGAGAAGGGAAGTTTAGAGAAAAAAGAATAAAAAGATACAGACAAAGCCTCCAAGAAATATGGGACTATGTGAAAAGACCAAATCTACATATGATTGGTGTACCTGAAAGTGACAGGGAGAATGGAACCAAGTTGGAAAACACTCTGCAGGATATTATCCAGGAGAATTTCCCCAATCTAGCAAGGCACGCCAACATTCAGACTCAGGAAATACAGAGAACGCCACAAAGATACTCCTCGAGAAGAGCAACTCCAAGACACATCATTGTCAGATTCACCAAAGTTGAAATGAAGGAAAAAATGTTAAGGGCAGCCAGAGAGAAAGGTCAGGTTACCCACAAAGGGAAGTCCATCAGACTAACAGCTGATCTCTTGGCAGAAACTCTACAAGCCAGAAGAGAGTGGGGGCCAATATTCAACATTCTTAAAGAAAAGAATTTTTAACCAAGAATTTCATATCCAGCCAAACTAAGCTTCATAAGTGAAGGAGAAATAAAATACTTTACAGACAAGCAAATGCTGAGAGATTTTGTCACCACCAGGCCTGCCCTAAAACAGCTCCTGAAGGAAGCACTAAACATGGAAAGGAACAACCAGTACCAGCCACTGCAAAAACATGCCAAATTGTAAAGACCATCAAGGCTAGGAAGAAACTGCATCAACTAACGAGCAAAATAACCAGCTAACATCATAATGACAGGATCATATTCACACATAACAATATTAACCTTAAATGTAAATGGGCTAAATGCTCCAATTAAAAGACACAGACTGGCAAATTGGATAAAGAGTAAACACCCATCAGTGTGCTATATTCAGGAAACCCATCTCATATGCAGAGACACACATAGGCACAAAATAAACGGATGGAGGAAGATCTACCAAGCAAACGGAAAACAAAAAAAGGCAGGGGTTGCAATCCTAGTCTCTCATAAAACAGACTTTAAACCAACAAAGATCAAAAGAGATAAAGAAGGCCATTACATAATGGTAAAGGGATCAATTCAACAAGAAGAGCTAACTATCCTAAATATATATGCACCCAACACAGGAGCACCCAGATTCATAAAGCAAGTCCTTAGAGACCTACAAACAGACTTAGACTCCCACACAATAATAATGGGAGACTTTAACACCCCACTGTCGACACTAGACAGATCAACGAGACAGAAAGTTAACAAGAATATCCAGGAATTGAATTTAGCTCTTCACCAAGTGGACCTAATAGACATCTACAGAACTCTGCACCCCAAATCAACAGAATAAACATTCTTTTCAGCACCACACCACACCTATTCCAAAACTGACCACATAGTTGGAAGTAAAGCACTCCTCAGCAAATGTAAAAGAACAGAAATTATAACAAACTCTCTCTCAGACCACAGTGCAATCAAACTAGAACTCAGGATTAAGAAACTCACTCAAAACCACTCAACTACATGGAAACTGAACAACCTGCTCCTGAATGACTACTGGGTACATAACGAAATGAAGGCAGAAATAAAGATGTTCTTTGAAACCAACGAGAACAAAGACACAACATACCAGAATCTCTGGGACACATTCAAAGCAGTGTGTAGAGGGAAATTTATAGCACTAAATGCCCACAAGAGAAAGCAGGAAAGATCTAAAATTCACACCCTAACATCACAATTAAAAGAACTAGAGAAGCAAGAGCAAACACATTCAAAAGCTAGCAGAAGGCAAGAAATAACTAAGATCAGAGCAGAACTGAAGGAAATAGAGACACAAAAAACCCTTCAAAAAATTAATGAATCCAGGAGCTGGTTTTTTGAAAAGATCAACAAAATTGATAGACTGCTAGCTAGACTAATAAAGAAGAAAAGAGAGAAGAATCAAATAGACGCAATAAAAAATGATAAAGGGGATATCACCACCGATCCCACAGAAATACAAACTACCATCAGAGAATACTATAAACACCTCTACGGAAATAAACTAGAAAATCTAGAAGAAATGGATAAATTTCTCGGCACATAAACCCTCCCAAGACTAAACCAGGAAGAAGCTGAGTCTCTGAACAGACCAATAGCAGGCTCCGAAATCGAGGCAATAATTAACAGCCTACCAACCAAAAAAAGTCCAGGACCAGATGGATTCACAGCCGAATTCTACCAGAGGTACAAGGAGGAGCTGGTACCATTCCTTCTGAAACTATTCCGATCAATAGAAAAAGAGGGAATCCTCCCTAACTCATTTTATGAGGCCAGCATCATCCTGATACCAAAGCCTGGCAGAGAGACAACAAAAAAAAAAGAGAATTTTAGACCAATATACCTAATGAACATCGACGCAAAAATCCTCAATAAAATACTGGCAAACCAAATCCAGCAGCACATCAAAAAGCTTATCCACCATGATCAAGTGGGCTTCATCCCTGGGATGCAAGGCTGGTTCAACACAAGCAAATCAATAAACGTAATCCAGCATATAAACAGAACCAAAGACAAAAACCACATGATTATCTCAATAGATGCAGAAAAGGCCTTTGACAAAATTCAACAACCCTTCATGCTAAAAACTCTCAAATTAGGTATCGATGGGACATATCTCAAAATAATAAGAGCTATCTATGACAAACCCACAGCCAATATCATACTGAATGGGCAAAAACTGGAAGCACTCCCTTTGAAAACTGGCACAAGACAGGGATGCCCTCTCTCACCACTCCTATTCAACATAATGTTGGAAGTTCTGGCCAGGGCAATTAGGCAGGAGAAGGAAATAAAGGGTATTCAATTAGGAAAAGAGGAAGTCAAATTGTCCCTGTTTGCAGATGACATGATTGTATACCTAGAAAACCCCATCGTCTCAGCCCAAAATCTCCTTAAGCTGATAAGCCACTTCAGCAAAGTCTCAGCATACAAAATCAATGTGCAAAAATCACAAGCATTCTTATACACCAATAACAGACAAACAGAGAGCCAAATCATGAGTGAACTCCCATTCACAATTGCTTCAAAGAGAATAAAATACCTAGGAATCCAACTTACAAGGGATGTGAAGCACCTCTTCAAGGAGAACTACAAACCACTTTTCAGTGAAATAAAATAGGATACAAACAAATGGAAGAACATTCCATGCTCATGGATAGGAAGAATCAATATCGTGAAAATGGCCATACTGCCCAAGGTAATTTATAGATTCAATGCCATCCCCATCAAGCTACCAATGACTTTCTTCACAGAATTGGAAAAAACTACTTTAAAGTTCATATGGAACCAAAAAAGAGTCCGCATCACCAAGGCAATCCTAAGCCAAAAGAACAAAGCTGGAGGCATCATGCTACCTGACTTCAAACTATACTACAAGGCTACAGTAACCAAAACAGCATGCTACTGGTACCAAAACAGAGATATAGATCAATGGAACAGAATAGAGCCCTCAGAAATAACACCACATATCTACAGCTATCTGATCTTTGACAAACCTGAGAAAAACAAGCAATCGGGAAAGGATTCCCTATTTAATAAATGGTGCTGGGAAAACTGGCTAGCCATATGTAGAAAGCTGAAACTGGATCCCTTCCTTACACCTTATACAAAAATCAATTCAAGATGGATTAAAGACTTAAACATTAGACCTAAAACCATAAAAACCCTAGAAGAAAATCTAGGCATTACCATTCAGGACATAGGCATGGGCAAGGACTTCATGTCTAAAACACCAAAAGCAATGGCAACAAAAGCCAAAATTGACAAATGGGATCTAATTAAACTCAAGAGCTTCTGCACAGCAAAAGAAACTACCATCAGAGTGAACAGGCAACCTACAAAATGGGAGAAAATTTTTGCAACCTACTCATCTGACAAAGGGCTAATATCCAGAATCTACAATGAACTCAAACAAATTTACAAGAAAAAAACAAACAACCCCATCAAAAAGTGGGCAAAGGACATGAACAGACACTTCTCAAAAGAAGACATTTATGCAGCCAAAAAACACATGAAAAAATGCTCATCATCTCTGGCCATCAGAGAAATGCAAATCAAAACCACAATGAGATACCATCTCACACCAGTTAGAATGGCAATCATTAAAAAGTCAGGAAACAACAGGTGCTGGAGAGGATGTGGAGAAATAGGAACACTTTTACACTGTTGGTGGGACTGTCAACTAGTTCAACCATTGTGGAAGTCAGTGTGGCGATTCCTCAGGGATCTAGAACTAGAAATACCACTTGACCCAGCCATCCCATTACTGGGTATATATCCAAAGGATTATAAATCATGCTGCTATAAAGACACATGCACACGTATGTTTATTGTGGCACTATTCACAACAGAAAAGACTTGGAACCAACCCAAATGTCCAACAATGATAGACTGGATTAAGAAAATGTGGCACATATACACCATCGAATACTAGGCAGCCATAAAAAATGATGAGTTCATGTCCTTTGTAGGGACATGGATGAAACTGGAAACCATCATTCTCAGCAAACTATCGCAAGGACAAAAAACCAAACACTGCATGTTCTCACTCATAGGTGGGAATTGAACAATGAGAACACATGGACACAGGAAGGGGAACATCAAACACCGGGGACTGTTGTGGGGTGGGGGGAGGGGGGAGGGATAGCATTAGGAGATATACCTAATGTTAAAGGACGAGTTAATGGGTGCAGCACACCAACATGGCACATGTATACATATGTAACAAACCTGCACGGTGTGCACATGTACCCTAATACTTAAAGTATAATAAAAAAAAAAAAGAAAAAAAACTCAAAAAGGCTTGTCTTTTAATCCAGGATGCTTGGTCTCCATGTGGCGAAGCAGTTTTGAATATTTCATGGCCTTTTTTGGATAGCTGATTGCCACACAGTATACAAAGCAGGCTTGGAGAATGTATATCACCTGTTGCAATGAATCATAATTTAAGTAGGACTCTTGGTATTTTCATTTAAATGCAGCTTTCTTTTGTTGGCATTCTTAGAGTCTTCTGCTGTCTCATCACTGAATTTTTCCTCCTTTTCAAAGAAGCTCCCTAGTGATGTTTGTTTTTTACTCATTTTGCCTAGAGTTAGCTTGTGGGCGTACCAAAACTGTGATTGAGACAAGTGCACAGTGTTAGAAAGAGGCGCAAACAAAAGAAGTAAAAAAAGTAATGGGCAGGCCATGTGGAGATTAAAACAAGTGTCAGATTCTGACTTAAAGCCTGCCACCAGATGCAGCTGTACAACTCAAGTACATCAACTCACCTGCCAACAGATGCAGCTTAATTGTCACTTGCCATTTGCTGATAGGGTTTTGACATCAGTCTGCAAGAAATTGGTTTATTATGGTCTCTGTGCAGTCAAACTTCTCTGCTAATGTTAATCTGTATTTGTAGCCACTCTCCAGCACTAGCACCACTGCCTCAGCTCCACCTCAGATCATCAAGCATTAGATTCTCATAAGGAGTACACAACCTAGATCCCTCACATGAGCAGTTCACAATAGGGTTTGTGCTCCTATGATAATCTATTGCTGCTGCTGATCTGACAGGAGGTGGAGCTCAGGCAGTAACGCCAAGTGATGGGGAGTGGCTGTAAATAAAGATGAAGCTTCGCTCGCTCACCCTGCCACTTAGCTCCTGCTATGCAGCCTGATTCCTAACAGGCCATGGACTGGTCCTGGTCTGTGGCCTGGAGGTTGGGGACCCGTGTGCTAAACAATGGTCTTTACCATGAAAGCACTTATAATACCATGATAGTAGCTTGAACAACATGATGTCAAATGAGTCTTCCATCTCTAAAATGAAAATTAATTGAAATCTGTTCATCTATATTCCAAAATAGCCAAGCTTAGATCCTGGAGCTCTAGCAACAGGGACATTGGAGACATTGTTAGCTTCTATGGGATGTGCCTAATAGAGTCTATCCTATTTAATAGCAAGAAAGGCATGCTCCATTCTTCTGCAATCATTTCACATTACCTACACATACACACAAAATGTCTTAGTTTATTCTTCAGAACTTTTCCCAGTATATTCTAACATAACATCCTAAATTTTATCCATCCATTTCCCAAATCAAACCCCATGCCCCAATCATACTGGTCTATTAACTGTCTCTATAATTGATCATGCATATTCCCACCTCCACTTTTTTCTCATACCATTTCCCTAATGTGAAGTGACCTAACTAGCCTTCATCTATCAAATGGCTACCCATTTTTTAAAAATGTCTACTTCATCCATTCATCAAGTGTTATAACACATAGGCTCTAAGAATATAACACAGAACAAAGTTCCTTACATTCAAAGAAGAAGTTACAGACAATAAATTGCTAAACAAGCATAAAATGTGAAGAGAAATAAAGGAGTTAGAAAGTGCTGAGGTCAGAGTGGGGACTGGTATTTTATTTAGACGGCCAGGAAAAAGCCTCTCTGATATATGAACAGATGCCTGAAGGAAATGAGAAACCACACAGGCATCTGAGGGAAGAAATTTTCAAGCAGGAGAACAGCTAATGCAAAGGCCCTTACACTAGAGCATGCTCTGTATTTTAAGGAAGAGTAAAGAGGCCAATGAATATAACAAATAAGAGAGTAGGAGAAGAAAGGTCAGAGAGTGGGCAGACAGTGGGGAGTAAAGTGGGTGGTAGATGGCAGACTTTATAGCCTTGTAAGTCACTGCAAGATGGTAGCTTTCATCTGAGGGACATGAGAAGCCACTAACAGGTTTTGAGCAGCAGAGTCACATGGTTCAACTTAGGTTTAAAAGGATCCATGTATATATGTCAATGAAAGTAAAGGATAAAGGAGGGAAATTAAGTGCTGTAGGTTTTGAAGAGAGAAGAGAAAGTGAAGAGAATAGGAGAATGCGTGGTGGACAAAAAAAAACAGTAAGATTGGTGGGCATCACCAACACCTATTTTGGGTTAATGATCATGAAAGTAAAGTAAACCCAGTTAGCAAAGTCATGCTCCACCAACATAAAACTGGCTAGGAGCAGGTCTGAAGCAGGCTTCTCCCAGGTGGCTCCACTGTCTCCAAAACCCTCCCTGACCATTCTAGGTTTCAATCACCATTTTCATTTTATCAGTTCCACATACCTTTCTCTAAAGCCATATAGCACCAATGCCTTTCCACTCATGTAGAAATGAATCAATTGCATATTTTTCTTATCTTGTCTTTCCAATCAAATTTTAATTTCCTTAAGGATAGAGACAAAATGTGACTATATATTCACAAAAACAGGATAAACTCATATGTAAGGCAACTTTTAAAAAGAAATGTTAAAAATGACAAAAATATATTTCACTGGATAAAATACTTTATTGTTCCCCTGGGCTTTAAGAAACTAGAATAGCCCCTTTTCCCTTTAGCTTTCTGCCTTCTTTAGGACTTGTCCTATAATTTAAATAGTTGTTTTTTTTCATAGTAACTGATTTGGGTTTTTAATAGAATTTCTTAGTAATAATTCTCTAAAAGGACCAAAATAAGACATTTTAAAATAGAAAATGTTAATTTTTTCCAGAACACAGGCATGTGATTATGTTGCTGCTAATCATTTACTGGGGAGATCAACAGGGAAGCTGAGGCCATGAGGGTTTGATTTCCAAGGCACAGCTCAGCCTCTGTGTTGAATCATTGAAGCACAGTAGGATTTAATTCAATTCTACAGGTTTTCATTGAGTACCTACTATGTACAAGGCATTGGGCTAGATCTGTCAAGAAAAGCACAAAGAAAAGTCTTGCAGTCAAGGATCTTATTATGCAAGAAATTATATACAAAAAATAGCAGAATGATGCCTATAAAGGAGGCACAAAGTACTTAAAGAAAGAAATAACATCTTTCTTCCCTACAAGTATTCTCAATGGTAGCCATGTGTACAGTAAGTTAAAATGTGATGCAGGAATCAAAACACCTTCATACTGTACTGGCCAGAAGCACAGGGTTTGAAGTTAGACAGCACTGGGTTCCAATCCTGGCTATAATTCTTTGCAGCTGTTTGACCTTGGACAAATTATTTCACTTCTTTGAGTCCCAGTTCACAATGGGGATAATAGTTATGGGAATTTCTACAGTTAACCAATATCCAGTTTCTAGTTCTGAGTACATAGAAGAATTGTATTTTCTTGTCCCTTCTTTGATTTCTTTGATCGCTATGATTTCTCATATATTAAGTTAGCGCCATGGTCCCTCCATCCAGTCATTCATCAGTAAAAATTTAGGCTGTAAAATTCCTAAATACTGTGATCAGTGCTAAAATAGAGTAAATTACAAGGAACATAGAGCAGGGAGTAACTATTTGCCTGGAAATGCTGGGTAAGCTTTCACATAAGAGATGCCTTTTGGCTAGGCCTTAAAAAATGAAGAGGGCTACGGCATCTGAGCCAGAGAGAACTGCATGTATAACAACATAAACATACAATTTCATATTCTGGAAAAGACAAATTGCTCAGACATATACAACGTTCTAAAGTATCACAATGATTTGTTAAAATTGAATATGGTTGTCCTCTTGGACATCAACTTCAAAGTTTAGGCATGTCCCTGTCACAGCCTAGTTTCCCTTGACTGCCATAATAGTATATAGTTCCACTAACTCATGGAACTGCCATTCATTAAACCTTTGAAACTTTACTTTGAATATATTTTTATTTTTACTCTTCACTACCTCTTCAGTTAATACATTCCAGAAATTATGTAAAAGAGTTATTTCCTTTTAGTTAAGCTTCCATTTATTAAGGAAGCTTCAGTGTTGGTCCTCTAATGCTATAGTACTGAGATCCAGCAACTAAGACTATGCTCATGTTGTCCATACTCTGGATACTTTAATGGATTGGTTACATTCCCTTTCAGCTTCATGCATCACTTCCAATCTGTATAAATTTTTTCCTGAACAGCATCTCTAACACCATCACACTTCCTCCTCACTCTATATTAGTTGACCTTTCTGATTTCATAATTTTGAAGTATAGTGACCCAAAAATTATACATGGTGTCCTAGATAGAAGGGCACCAGTTTTACATAAGGATAAAACAGAGTTTTCCAGAGATTATCAACATACTTCTTTTGCCACAATGATGACATCCAGAACAGTATTCCATAGCTCTTGGTTTCCATGTTGGTAGCCACACTGAAGTTCACTATTATATTTCTTTCTGCCAGAATAGCACAGAAATTAAGCATGAAGGCTTTGAAGTCAGACTGCCTGTATTTAAACTCTTAATTCACCATTTTCTTGCCATCACCTTGAACTCAGCCTGAGGGTGGGGAAAATCCCAGTGTTAAACTCTGGAAATGATACCAGCTGTGGGCTTATAACCACAGAAGGTGCACCTCCTTTCAGTTAAGCAGCATGGAGAAGAAGCTGTGGGGACTGTAATCTGCCCAGGTCTCAGTTTCACAGCAGCCCATAGGAGGGCAGTGGGTATTGTCCTAGGTATATATAGGAGAGCCTAGCTTCCATGTCCCTCCTCAACCAGACAGCAGCTGCAGCTACATCAAGTCAAATTCAGCCTAAGGGCAGGGCACAGCCCAGCATTAAACTCTCAAAATGGCTCCTTGGGCCTGCAACCAGGGAGAATGGGACCCTTCCCAAACAGGCATCATAGGCAAGTAGCTATGTGGCATGTGGTCTGCTTATGTTTCAGTCTCACAGCAGCCCACTGCAGAGCAGTGCATCTTGTCCTAGATATGCATAGTAAAGCCCGGTTTTCCTGTCTCTCCTTGGCCAGACAGTGGCTATAGCCATGTCAGCCCAAACTCAGACCAAGAGTGAGGCACAGCTCAGTATTGAATTCTCAGGTCCCTTGGTGATGGGACCAGAGACGGTGGGTTCCCTCCCAAGCAAGCAGCATGGACAAGAGGCTGTAGGAATTGTGGTCCACTCACATCTTAGTCTCAAAGCAACCTGTTGTAGGGTAGTGGGTATTGTCCTAGATATGCATAGGATAACCTGGTTTCCCTGTCCCTCCTTGGCAGAGTGGTGGCTATAGCCACATCAGCCCAAAGTCAAGCCAAGGGTAGGGTGCAGCCCAGCATTAAACTCTCAAAACAGCACCTTTGGGCCAAGACCTTAGTGGGTCTATGGTTTCTCATGTAGCCAAGATTGCAAAAGCCCATTTTTGATTCCTGGGGGTTTCTCTATCACTGTTTCCCCATGTCCAGGAGCTTTTCCCAACTCTCAGTCTGTTCCTGGCTGAGGAAGGTGCTTCGAACCCTCTCCTTACTTGCTTCTGGTGCTTCCCATCTCTTCTCTGGTGAATCCTAGCATTCTCTCCTAAATGATCTGTTCAAAATATATCTGCTGACTATTCTGGCTCCTCTACATGGAGAAGGTACATATTACCTGCATCTAGTCAGCCATCTTGTCTCCCAAAATTGTATTTACCATCTTTAAGCCTTGGTTTCCTTACCTTTAAATGTAGATAATAATAATTCTACCTTATGAGTTTGATGATGCCTATAAACAATAAGCAACGGGTCTGCTACACATAGTAAGCACACAACAAGTATTACCAATTACTATTTTTATTATTGCTGTAATATTAGGCCCATTCCTGATGTATCCCCCTTCAGGTTTGTTTTTTCAGTGTCCAGAAAAACTTAGTTCAACCTACCTCTTTGAAAAAGTCACCATTTATTCTCCTCTCCGGATAAATTTTTAAAATATTAAACCTGAGTTCTCTTTCTGCTCCATAGGAACCCTATTATACTTCCCCCTTAAGATAAATATTCTATTCACTTCTACTTATCAAAAAACACCATTGAGAAAATAAATGGACAAGTAATAGGCTAAGGAAAAAAATACAACACTTATATCTGACAAAATTATATCCAGAACAAATAAGAAATTCTTAAAAATCAGTAAATAAAAAGCCAATAATCAACCCCCTCAAAAAAGAATCAAAAGAAAACCAGGCAAGACACTTGGACAGACACTTTACAAAAGAAAAATCTATAAATGGACAATGAGTACATGAAAAGGTGATCATGATTAGTCAGCAGGAAAGCACACATTAAAAGCATACTGAAATTAAATGCAATGTGGTATCCTGGACTGGATCCTAGAACCAAAAAAAGACATTGGTAAAAACTAAGGAAACTCAAATAAAATCTACAGATTAGTTAACGATATTATAACAATGATAATTTGTTTTGACAAATTAAATGCAATGTCATATCTTGGATTGGATCCTAAAACCAAAAAAAGAGATTGGTAAAAACTAAGGAAACTTAAATAAAATCTACAGATTGGTTAATGATATTATAACAATTATAATTTATTTTGACCAACCTATCAATGTATTAGTTTTCATTAATATAAAATGTTAATATTATGAAAAGTTGAGTGAAGGTTTATGGGAACTTGCAACTCTTCTGCAAATCCAAAATTGTTTGAAAATTAAAAGTTAAAATAACAAGATAACACTAAGCGCCCATTAGAATCAGTAAAAAAATTAATGTTGGTGGGGATATGGAGCAACCAGAACTTTCATATATTGTTGGTAAGAGTGTGAAATGGTAGAACCACTTTGGAAAATAGTTTGGCAGTTTCTTAAAACATTAAACATATCTCTAGCTACCCTATGACTCAGAAATTCTGCTCCTAGATATTTTTATGAGAAAAACGAAAATCTATGTCTATAAAAAGTCTTAGGTGTGTCCATAGAAGCTTTACTCATGATAACCAAATACTTTACAGTCAGTAAATTCAGATATCCATCAACAATTCAGACATTCACCAAAAGGTTAACGGATAAACTGCGGTATATTCATTTAATGGAACAGTACTCAGCAACAAAAAAAGGGATGAAGCATTTATATAAACAACATCATGAGTGAATATCAAAAACATTATGCCAAGTGAAAGAAGCCAGACACAAAAAAGTACATGCTACATGATTCTATATATATGAAGCTCTACAATAGTCTAACATAATCTATAGTGATAGAAATCAGATGAGTGGTTGCTTAGAATTGGGACTAAGTAAGTGCTGACTGGGAAGGAGCATAAGGAAACTCTCTGGGAATGATGAAAACGTACTGGGTGCTGATAGTGTTGGGGTAACACAAGAGTAGGCATTTGTGAAAACTGATCACTTAGGACCTTTACACTTCACTGTGTGTAAGTTATATCTCAATAAAAAAATTTTTAATAATTTAAGTATGTATTTATTCCTTTTTATTTCCTGTCCCTAATGTCCTTACTTTAGTCAATACAGACCCTTTCTTTTTTTTTTTTTTTTTTGAGACAGAGTCTCACTCTGTCACCCAGGCTGCAGTGCAGTGGAGCGATCTCAGCTCACTGCAACCTCCGCCTCCCGGGTTCAAGTGATTCTTCTGCCTCAGCCTCCAGAGTAGCTGGGACTACAGGCATATGCCACCATGCCCGGCTAATTTTTTTTTTCTATTTTTAACAGAGATGGGGTTTCACCATATTGGCCAGGCTGGTCTTGAACTCCTGACCTCGTGATCCACCCACCTCAGACTCCCAAACTGCTGGGATTACAGGCTTCAGCCACTGTGCCCAGCCAAAACAGACCTTTCTACTCCACACTCAATGCAATGACTACATCTTAGAGGCCTTTGATTAGAAGGCTTGTTATAGATTTTGAAAGTCTAACTGGATTATATACATTTATTCCGTTCAAAATAGCAACTTATCGTAAACAGGAGACTGAAGGGACTGCAATATTTCCAGCATTTGTATTTTATACTTTGGCACAATTTCACACACAATTTAAGAATATACAAATAGCCCTCTTATCTGAAGGAATCCTAAGTGTTTTACAAACCTTCAAAACAGATTTTTAAACTATCTAATATTTTATAGGAAGAACATTTCATGCGCACTAAAGTGCAGCCACATCTGGCCTGCAACATGGCAGCTGTTTAACAGCCATGACACCTCACAAAAATTTAGGACAGGAAGTAAAGAATTCTACAGCCAACCAAAGTGAAGACGAGGAAGGTTGCAGAAGCAGAAAGCTACAATGGCTTGGGCTGGAGCATGACCAGCACGATGTGGTTAACACATCTGTCGTAATGAAAAGCACAAGTGTCATTAGTGGTCAGAGCCTCATCTCACAGAAGGTATGTCCCACAGCACAGTGACCTTTTCCTTCCATTGGTGGCATTTCTAATACAACAGGAAAAATGCTCCCACTAGCCATGCCCAAAACATTCCTTCCTGAAGTCTCCATTCCAGGTACTACACTACATACAAGTTTAGCTGTGCTGAAATTTGAAAAGGTCTTTATCTTCATGTCAGAAGCTCAAGCCAACACTTAGTTGGATATATTTCATCACAGGCAAATAGAAAAGAGAAAGTTGTGATTTGGGTTAAGGGACTACAGTCAAATACATTATCATGAAAATATTCTCCTTTTCATTTTCTTTTCAAATACTTTTCATTTTGTTTTGCCAAATTAAAGAAGAAAATTTTCAGTGGTTTTTCCTGTGATAGTCTTAAAGTATCTTCCTGATGAAAGCTCAACTAGTTTCATTAATCCTAGAAGAGAATTCTAGATGTAGAAGAGATTAAGAAGACCACGGATTTCTTCATGTGATTTTGGCTGGTAGTATCTGCCTAAGAAGGCTTCTTGTAAGAAGGGCATCGACATGCCTGTAAATAATCATCACACCTTGGCTTTAGCTCCCTGGAAACGTAGGTTCTCCTTCATTTAGTTCCAAACTTTTCTGGATGCTAGACCTCAAATCATTTTTTCCAAACACAGGAAGTGAACCAGATCACTCAGTCCTCCAGCAACTCCTCCATCACTCTCAGGATTACATAAGAATTTGTATCTTGAATTTCCATGCCTCCCCCTTTATACTCATGTATTCACTATTTAAAAAGCCAGGTAAAGAAAACCCAGTACCCAGAGTTCTGTACTAAAATAAAAGGTCTACCCATGCAAAAGGTATACTCTACTCTTTCACAAGGCATATGAGGCTGTAGAGACACCTCCTGGATCCCAAAGCATACTAATGAGACTCCAACCTTATCAAAGGACATGTTATTATTCCCCTTCAATTCTGCCCGAAGGGCAAGCCAAGTTAGAGATGGAATTCCATATAAGGCTGGAATTACATTTATCTATTATTGCTTGGATCCAAGTATATGGGTTTGTATGTAAGAGGAGAGGGGTTTCTTAGAATGACTGAGGTTTATAGAAAAGGAGAGAAATTATTGCACTAAAACACTAATGCCATCAAATGAAATAATGTCTCAGTTACTGGCCCAAAGCACACTGCTAAGTGGTATAGACTACGTGTGTGTGTGTGTGTGTGTGTGTGTGTGTGTGTGTGTGCATGTGTGTGTAAAGAGAGAAAAAGAGAGATCAGAAGGAGCTAACTCATCATAATGGGCAATAAATATATGGAGGAAATATGAGTTTTGCAAACAATGCTATTGCAATTTGATTTTGGAAACTCAGATGCAACAAACATTTGTGGGCAATTTCCAGGTGCCTGAAGAGCTTACGTGTGCCTATTTATTTAATCTTCCCAACATCCTTGTGAAAGTAATTGTATACTCTTATTTTTATAGATGAGGAAACAATGGTTGGCCAGGCAAAAGTGATTTATCCAAAGTCATTCATGTGCAGACTAGAAGTAAGTCCTCTGACTTCAAATCTCTTGTTTTTCTTCCCATGCACCATGCTGCTTTTTTATGTTGCCAGTCTGCAATGAAGTAATCTCATTGGAAGTGAGATGTGAGCTGGGAATTGAAGGATATTCTGTGGAGAGGAACGGGAAAAGCATTTTAGGTAGGCAGACTAGACTCTACCATGATTTTCAAGCAGAAAAGCCCAAACAAAAGACCAGTTAAGTGGGCAACGAGGAAGCTTGCTTTAAAGGAAAGATTATATAGAAAAGAAGAGGGAACTAACACTCCAAAGATAGGCCTGGACAAAATCATGCAAAGATTTTACCATTAAGCTTAACAGTGTTGCCTTATTTTCTTGATAATGGGGAGCCACTATAGTTCTTTGAATGACATTTTTGAATTCGCTTTTAAGAAATATCATCTTAAAAGTGAATTTGCAGTATGATAGATGAATTAGTGGAGAAAGAATAGAGAAACCAGTCTGAGGTGTTTGTTTTAGCAGTGCAAATGTGAAATGGCAAACTAGGACAGAATGGAGAGAAAAATAAAAATAAAAACAATCCTTGGCATGCAGTAGACACTAATTAGTAAGTGTAACATTTATAAAAAGGCAGAGCAGGGGGAAAAAAAGGCAGTGTGAGGAGAGAATCATTAGAACTTGTTAACTTACTGGCTATGGAAAACAAGAGAAAGTGTGTATTAACTGTCACTCAAATGTCAGACCCAGACAACCTTGATGATAGTGGGATCATTAACAGAAGTAAGAAATTTAGAAGAATGGAACCAAATTTAAGAAAGAAAAATAACAGGTTAAGATTATGAAACACTAAATTTGAGACAACTCAAGGTGCCTCATGAAAATGTTTTGTGGACACAATTACCCAAGAGAAAGATCAGGCTGGAAATTTAGATTTGTCCATCATCTTTACAGTGGTGGAACCAAAGTGGAAACAAAATCACCAAGAAAAATTGCATAGAGTGACAAGAGATAATGGCTAAGAACAGGGTGCAAGAACAAAACAAAGCATACACTCAGAGGTGCAAAACAGTATCGAATGTTGCATGCAAATCAAAGACACTAAGGCTGGGAAAAGACTATTTGATTTGACAATTAGGAGGTCATGGTGACCTTCAAGAGCTCGGATTCAGGCAAGTAATTAGGAAAATGCAGATTTCTGAGAGCTAAGGAGAATGTGAATTGAAAATGGAGGATGTAAGACAGATTACTTATTTGAAAAGATTGGCAGTAGAAGACAAAAAAGGGGGTTTTATATTATATGCTAAGCTTAATGTCTCTAGGAGAACTTTAACTTTTTCAGTCCATTATTTTAATTTTTATTTTTATAGTAAAATTCTATTTTAAAGCACCACTATGCTACAACCTGAATTAAGCTATACCATGGGTCAAATCCTGTCCTGTCCCCTGCGTGCACAGTGTTATATAGGATATTGGTCTCAATACACCAAAGAAAGCATATGAGTAATAGACTTGTCCACCCCATTCCTATCTGTGTTATTAAATAGCTGAACTGTAATTTGAATTTATAAAACTAATGTTGTCTCTTTGGGATTTTAATATGTTTATTATCTGAAATAAACAACCTCATTTCTCTAATCACCCTCTATTGACAACTTTACTAATTTGGTACATTAGAAAATGATGATGATGTTGAAGTGTGAAAACCATATTGATATAAGATTTATATTTAAATCCAGATGTTTACACTTATTAAACCACTATGAAGCCTTATGATTTATTTTCTCTCACTATAGGTCACAGCATATAGCTTAGAGAACACTTAAGAGAAGTAGGCTAATGCACTCATACTTCATTCCTGGAACCTTTGGTTCTAGTTTGACTAAATTTACCAATAAAATAAGCTTGATGGACATGTGCAAAACTCTAGTCAACATTATTCACTGTAACGAAATTCTCTACTTATCTGCTTCCATGAGGTAGTCCTAGTGCTACCAACAAGAAATTTCTCAAGCACATAGCCATTTAAATAACTCAGGCCATGATTACATAAATTACTTTAGTCCAGGTTAGTAAAAAGAATAAAGACAAAATAGATTTTACCTTTAAATTTTTTCTTTCACCAAAAAAACTACTGACAGAAAAGATACTTTGTAACTAGTCAAATGCCAGGCAAGGAAACTGTAATGGCCAAAGGACCATAGCCACACAAACCCATGAATGTTCAGTAAAGGCTTGTTGACGGTACACACCATTGATGATTATACTTTAGGGTAAAGATAATGTTATGAGTAAAAAATATGACATAAATTTGAATCTTAAAATCCTAGAAATTATAATCCATCAAGCTACAGTACATTACTAAAAATCATAGAGAATGTTCTGATCAAGAGTCAGCAAATTTTTTTTTTCTGTAACAGGTCAGACTGTAATTAGTTTAGGCTTTACAGGCAATATGGTCTCTGTTGCAGTGAATTAACTCTGCCACTGTAGTGCAAAAGTAGCCATAAAGAATATATAAGATAATAACTGTGGCTGTGTTCCAATAAAACTTTATTTACAAACACAGATGGCAAAAGCAACTACTCATCAACAAAAATCTGCAATGAGGAGGTACGTCAAAGAGACATGGGAGCCAACTGAAAGAGCTCCACATAGCTAAATCTAGAACAATTTGAACAACAAAATAAAGTAATATTATAACCCAAAATATAAAATAAATATCCATATTCACTATTAATAAGCAATTGATCAATAAATGGGGAGAAAAGACAAATATCTCATGCAGAATACAAATAATTGATGTAGATATTCCATCCTCATGGAGGTGGAGCATAACTCTCCACTCTTTAAGTGTGGGCTGCACATAGTAGTGACTTCCTTCCAAAAACTACGGTATGGATACCGAGGAAGGGTAAGTAACTTTACACTGGAGAAACCTGACAAACACTACCGCAGCCAGGTGATAAAGGCCAACATGAACAGTGATAAGTCACATTGATAGTGACTTATAACCAAATCTATAACCTCAGTTTAAATTGTAAGAAAAATAGCAGACCAATCTCATACAGACACCTTATAAAATACCTGACCAATATTCCTCAAAACTGTCAACATCATCAAAAACAAGAAAAGTCTGAGAAACTGTCAGTCAAGAGGAGCCTAAAGAGACATGATGACTAAATCTGGATGAGATCCTGAACAGAAAATGAACACATGTAAAAACTAGGTAAATATCTATAAAATATGGGCTTTGGTTAATTTTTTCAGATCAAAAAGTATTTTATATTTTTATTTAATAGAAAAATAAAAATTACAAAATACGTATACAAAATAATGTTTTGAAATATGTATACATGGTGGAATGGATCAACTAAGCTATTAACATAGGTATCACCTCACATACCTATCTTTTTTGTGATGAGAACACTTAAAATCTACTCAATACATTGTTATTACCTACAGTTAACCATGTTGTACAATAGATCCTTTGTACATATGTCTCCTATCTAACTGAAATTTTGTATTCTTTGACCAACATCTTCCCATCCTCCCTATCCCCTGGTAACCACCACTCTACCCTCTACTTCTCTGAGTTCAATTTTTTAGATTCCACATATATACTATGCAGTATTTATCTTTCTTTGCCTCTTTATTTCACTTAATATAATGTCCTCCATGTTCATCCATGTTGTCACAAATGACAGGATTTCCTCCTTTTTTAAGGCTGAATAGTATTCCATTGTGTGTATATACCACATTTTCTTTATCAATTCATTTGCTTGTGGACACTTAGATTGATTCCATATATGGCTATTATGAATAATGCTGCAATGAACATTTCAGTGCAGATATGTCTTCAATATACTGAATTCATTTCCCTTGAATACCCATTAATGAGACTGCTGCATCAAATGATAGTTCTATCTTCAGTTTTTTGAGGAATGTGCATTCTATTTTTCATAATAATTATACACATACCCACCAACAGCATGCAAGGGTTCCCTTGACTCCATATCCTTACCAACAAGTTATCTTTGGTCTTTTTGATAATAGCAATTCTAATAGGTGTGAGGAGATATCTCACTGTGGTGTTAATTTGCATTTCTCTGATGGTTAAGCACATTTTTGTATGCCTGTTGGCCATTTTTATAGCTTCTTTTGAGATATATCTATTCAGGTCCTTTGCCCAGTTATTAATCAGTTTCTCTTCTTGCTATTGAGTTGAGTTCCTTACACATTTTGGATATGAACCCTTTACCAGATGGATGGTTTGCAAATATTTTCTCCCATCCTATAGGTTCTTTCAACATTCTGTTGATTTTTTTTAGCTGTGCAGAAACTTTTTAGTTTGATATAATCCCATTTGTCTATTTTTCCTCTTTTTGCCTATGCTTTTGAGGTCATGCAATTTATCCCTAGATTTTCTTCCAGTGACTATAAAGTTTCAGATTCTAAATTTAAGTCTTTTATCCATTTTGGGTTGATTTTTGTATATGTTGTGAGACAAGGTTTTAATTTCATTCTAGTGCATGTGGAAATTCAGTTTTCTCAACACTATTTTATTTGATATAAGTATAGTTACCCTGCTCTTTTCCATTTGTTTGTTTCCATTTGAATGGAATATCTTTTTCCATCGCTTCACTTTCAGCCTGTGTGCCCTTAAAGGTGAAATAAGTCTCTTGTACACAGCACACAGTTGGCCCAGCTTTTTTTTAATCCATTCAGCCCCTCTATGTATTTTAATAGAAGAATTCAATCTACTTACATTCAAGATAATTATTAATATGTAAGGGCTTATCACTGTTATTTTGTTATTGTTTTCTTGTTTTGTTTTGTTTTGTTTTGTTTTTAGAACCTCTTTTCTTTCTCTCTTGCTGTCTTCCTTTGCAGTTAAGTGATTTTTCTCTAGAAGTATGCTTTACCATCTTACTTCTGATCTTTGGTGTATCGATTATAGGTTTTTGCTTTGTGGTTACTTTGAGGCTTACATAAAACCTTATAGTTGTAACAGGCTCTGTTAACCCAAAGATTTGATTGCATTAAAAAAAACTAAACACTTTCATTCCTCCTCCAATATTTTATGTTTTTGATGTCACTGTTTACATCTTGTTATAGTGTGTAATCCTTAAGAAATTTTTGTAGCTATTAATCTTTTTAATAGTTTTGTCTTTTAACCTTCATACTAAAGATATGTGATTTACATATTACCTTTATAGTATTAGATAATTCTAAATTTGACTGTGTACTTACTTTTACTAGTGAGTTTTATACCTTCATAAGTTTTTGTATCACTAATTAGTGTGCTTTCCTTTCAACTTGAAGAACTACCTTTAGTATGTTGTATAAGACGGGTCTGGTGGTGATGAACTCCCTCAGCTTTTATTTGTCTGAGAAAGTCTTGATCTTGCCTTCATTTCTGAAGGACAGCTTTGCTGAATACAGTACTCTTGGTTGGCAGGGTTTCTTTTTTCCTTTAGTACTTTGAATATACCATTCCACTATCTCCTGCCTATAAAGTTTCTGCTCAGAAGTCCACTGATAGCCTTATTGGAACTCCCTTATATGTGATCTGCTTCTTTTTCCTTGTTGCTTTCAGGATCTTCTCTTTGTCTTTGATTTTTAACAGTTTTATTATAATATGTCTTGGCATAATCTTGTGTGAACTGAATTTGATTGAATACCTTTGACCTTCTTTTACCTAGATCTCTGGATCTTTATGTGTTTTCCCAGATTTGAAAAGTTTTCTGTTACTATTTCTTTCAGTAAGCTTTTTACCCCATTTGTCTTTCTCTTCTTGAAATCCTATAACTCAGACATTTGCTCTTTTTACATTGTCCCATAAATTCTGTAAGTTTTCTTCACTCCTTTTCTTTTTAATTTTTATCATTCGACTACATATTTTCAAATAATCTGTCTTCAAGTTCACAGATTCATTCTTCTGCTTGATCAATGCTGCTACTGATGCTTTCTATTGCATTTTTCACTTCATTCATTGTGTCTTTCAGCTCCAGAATTTCTGTTTGACTTTTAAAAACAATTTCAATCTCTCTGTTAAATTCCTCACTTTGGTAGTTTACTATTTTCCTGATTTCATACAATTTTTTTCTGTATTTTCTTTAATTTTGCTGGGCTTCCTTAAGACAATCATCTTGAACTGTTTTTTAGGCAGTTCATAATCTCTATTTCTTTGAGGGTTAGCTACTGGGAGATTATTGTACTCTTTTGGTAGTGTTATATCTCCTTGGTTTGTCATGTTTCCTCTTATCTTACATTGAAGCTTGCACATGGAAAGAAGTTGGAATTCACTCTAGTTTTTGCTGACTGGCTTTGTATGGGAGAGCCCTTCCTTTTCAGTCCATCCAGAGATTCTGAGTAAGTTGTCTGGCATTCTGAGTAAGTTGTCCATAGGTGGGTTTACTGCTGGAGTCTTTGGACATGTAGCCTCGTAACTGGGTCAGCAGGTGGGTGGGCCTGGAACCTGGTTCCACGGGGTTAAGCCTAGGGCCTAAACACACCAGAGTGGACCTGTTGATTGGTTCCTCAGGAGGAGACCTGGAGCCTAGGTCACAGAGGGTAGGCCTAGAACCTATTTTTCCAGGGGCTTCCCTGAAGCCTGTATCCACATGAACTGATCTGGCACTGGGGTGGTCTCTGAGCCCAAGTCTGCAGGGGTCAGCCAGGTGCTGGGATGGTCCTGGGAACTGAGTCCACAGGAGCTGGCTTGGAACTAGAGTGGGGATGGGACACAAGGGTGAGCCTGGGTTCTGGATCTATAAGGTGGTCCTAGAGTCTTGATCCATGGGGACCAGTCTAGAACCAGAGTCTGTTGGAGCAGGCCTGGACCCTGGATCTGTTGGACCTTGTGGCCACAAGGACTGCCCTGGAGGATGGCACCACAGGGACAAGTCTGGCACTGAGCAGGCCCAGAGCCTATATCCACAGGATCTTGCCTTGTATCTGATGCCAGAGGCTATGACCTGGTGCTAGAGTGAGATTAAAGCCTGAAAAGGGGCTGCAACCATCCTGGCTTTGGCAGTCATGGGCTATCATGGCTCCAGGCTCCAAAATCTAGGGCAGAACTGAAGCCTGGGGTCCCAGAAGCTGGCCTGGCACTGGGTGGGCCTAGAACCTATATCTGTGATGTCCAGCTTGGTGGTTTGGTCTATAGGTACCAGCTTGATGACTAGGGCTTCAGGGGATGGCCTCATGCAGGGTTGAACCTACAGCCCAAGTCTGTAGAGGTTGGCCTGGTGCTATGTCATGCCTGAAACCCAGGGCCATTGAGGCCAGCTCAGTGCTGGTACCAGTCTCAGGCCTGGGGCTGCTGGGGTAGGCCTGGTATCGGGGCAGCCACAAGTCCTAGTGTGCAAGTCAGGCCTGGAGCCAAGGGCTGCAGGATTCTGTTTTGTGCCAGGGTGGGCTTGGAAGCTCAATTTACAGGTACTAGTATGGAGCCTGGGGCTTCCAGAGCTGGCCTGGGGCTAGGTGGGTCTGGAGCCTGTTTCTGCAGAAGCCAGCCTGGAGGCTGTGTCCACAGGTATTGGCCTGAAGACCAGGGCTTTAGAGGCCAATCTGGTGCTGGGGCAGGCCTGAAGCCTGGGATTATTGACACTAGCCCACTGCTGGGGGTGGCCTGGAGCCTAGCACTGTGGGGATCAACCTGGTGTAGGGTAGCACATAGAACAAGTCCTCCGGGTAGACCTGGAGTGTAGAGCTTCAGGATCTGGTCTGACACCAAGATGAGCCTAGACATTGAGTCCACACATACCAGCCTGGAGTCTGGGGCTGTGAGGGCTTGTGTGGCACTGGGTTTTACTGGGATAGGGCTAGTGTTGGGGTCCCAGGCAGCATCCGATGCTCACTTCCCTGACCCTCCCCCAAGGAGAGAGTATCTATCTCCACACTTTGCTGCCTGGAGTTGAAGGAGGAGAGATGCAGGTGATGTAAAACTGTCTTTCCTACCCTCTTCAATGTGCCCCTTCTTATTTCTGTGCTATACTTAAGTGCTGAAATCTCTCACCTGGCTTCTGTTGCTGATGTAAAGGAATTTTCATGCATGAATAGTTGTTCAAAGTGATGTTTTTGCAGAGGACAATCACTGGAAAGTCATATTCTGCCATCTTGCTGACATCAATCTGGACTTTAGTTAATTAAAATATATATAAATAAGAGATGGCAGGCCAGATTTTGCCTGGAGGCCATAGTTTTCTGAATCCAGTCTAATTGCCATATTTACTGAAGGTCATGATGGTCTCCTACAGTCATAACACAAAACAGAAACAGATGACAAAATGGGAGCAGGGCCTTTAGAGTCTAGCCCCTTATTTCACATCTGAGAAAGCAGGAGCAGTGAGGTTAAGTTCCTTACCCAGGTCCAACCAGTCTGTAAGCAGTGGACCTAAAGCGGAGATTCAGGGTCCAACTTCCTGGCTAATGCTTTTTATGCTACATGATGCTGCCACCCTCTCCCCATGCCCTGTATGCATAATTCCAAGTCACTCAAGAAAAAGAGAAGCACTTTGGCAATTCAACTGACTTAGGCAGTCCAAAAAGAAAATCCTAGTATGACTTCTTGCTTTCTTCCCAGATAAGATTTTTCCTCTAAGTTCTTGCAGCTGAAGGCTAGAACCCATAGAGCACCAGAGCCCAGAAGGACTGACTCCTCACTGCTTTCCATCTCCTGATCTTGTTTACATGTGTTTATCTGCAAAAGTTTTAATGGAATAAGAGAAAACGAGTGCTTTAACTTCCCAATAAAATCTGTGCCCCAGCATGAGTCATTGTTTTCTTTTTTTACACTAGCAAGGATAAAGCCTTCTGGTTTTAATAACTAATACTGCTGAGTTCAATAAAAAGCACTTAATTTAATTTAATCCAAACCTTGATCAACGCCAGCTTCCCCTGGAATTTTATCTTTGTTTTAACTTGAGTCTTTATGTTCAGAAAAATGAGAGGCCAAAAGGAAAGAAACAGAAGTCAATTAGCTTGTAGGCTTGTTTCTAGACAAAGGACATGAAAATACAAGATTGACAGGTAAACTCCAAGGCTCTAATGTTTCTGCCCCACTGGACAATCTTTTCCTGGCAGAATTAATGCTTTCTTTAATCCTGAATAAAGAAACTGAACAATTCACAGCCCCATTTGGAAAATGTTTTTAAACAAAATATTCCAAAGCCAATTAGCATCAGATTTCTAAACTAGAAATATATTGCGTTTAATGTGTCAATAATCGAGAGATATGCTACTGTAAAATTAGATACAGAAACCCTCAAGTCCATCTGTTTCAATTCTAAAGCAGCCAGACTCAGTGCTTAAGGGACTGAAATGTATATAGGGACTAAAATGGAAATAAAATGAAGCACCCCTGAAGATAGTTTTGATAAGCTTTTCTTAAATGATCCCTTTATTGTCACAACAGAGTTCAGTCCTATTTCTAAAAACATCCATTATTGTAGAATTGCAATTTACTATTAACTGAAACCACTTTCATAACTTCAACCTGAAAGTTCCTGCTGCTGTGTCAAGTTTGAACCAAAAACTTTGCAACAGTTGAGGGGAATTATGAAAATCTGCATTTTTGGTTCAATTATGTAGTTTTTCAGTGCAAAAGCTTTTAGAAATGTTCTGAAGGCTATTAAAAGAGAACTGAGGCCAGACACAGTGGCTCAACTATAATCCCAGCACTCTGGAAAGCTGAGGTAGGAGGATCGCTAGAAGCCAGGGGTTCACAACCAGCCTGGGCAACATAACAAGGCCCAGTGTCTACAAAAAAAAAAAAAAAAAAAAAAAAAAAACATTGCCAGGCATGCTGGTACATGCCCTGTAGGCCTAGCTACTCAGGAGGCTGAGGTGGGTGAATTGCATGAGCCCAGGAGTTTGAGGCTGCAATGAGCTATTACTGCACCACTGCACTCCTGCCTGGATGACAGACTGAGATCCAGTCTCAAAAAACAAACAAACAAACAAAAAGCAGGACTGAACATCAGGGATAGCATTCAGTCTCCCTCCAGAGCCGGGTTACTACTGGCAGCCACATTTCCTTGCCACCATCTGGAAGTACTGATTCAACAGTGGACCAGAGGGAAAAGGCAGCCAGTTTCTTGTAGAATTCCAAACTTCAGTTCCTGTAGCACCTGGTTTCCATAGGGGTTTCATGTCCAAGTCTGATTAAACCACAATTCATAGACTATAGAAATGTTAACCCTGGGAGGAGACAAACAGCATCTAAGCCAGTGATTCACATACTTAGGGATTTCAGGACCAGTAATATTTCAAAAAGAAAAATATCAGGGCACCAAAATAGAGTTGCTCATTTTTTTCATAGTCATTTGCTTTTGCAAAACAAAGACATTTAAAATAGCAACTACCATTAATTATCAACATCATTTCATAACTTCAATAACAAAAACGTAGGAAGGACATAAACTTGGAACTTAAAAATTAAATAAATTTAGTTTCATAAAAACTTGTCACTTGGTTCTTATTTTGTCCCAAGTTGCTAAAAGCTTCATAGACTGAAATTCATTTACAGACCATTGTTTGGGAACAATTAGCTAGTTTAATTCCTAACAGCAGACCCTTAGAATCCGCTCTGTTGTGACCACAGCTGTTCTCCAATAAACCAATAATCTAAAACTCAGTGAGATTCTTTAAGGAATGAGATGATTTACTGTGCTTAAAGAGGACATCAAATGAAACTTGTAGCAATCATTGTTTTGGAAAGCCAAAAGACCTGAAGTAAATTAAATGTGTTTATTTTCTATTTTTTTATCTTTGAAAATCCTTTAGCATAAAACATTATAAAAGGTAAATAAAACATACTTGGGGAAAAATGACCATGAAATCAGCCTGTTTGAGAATCTTCACCTTTGCCTAGAAGCAATAATAATGTTAATGATATACTTTCCTGAGCTTGGGAAAAAGCAGGCTCATGAATTGCAGCCTTGTGAAAGAGGGATTTACTTGACTCCTATTGATTCCAGAGATCAGAATTACCATAAATGGGCAGAAATTTTAAGAGAGGCAGTATATAGATAAAGATAAGAACTTGTTTTTAGAGGCATAACTTCTTAAGTAAATTCAAAGATGACTGGGCAACTTCATGGTATGAGAGGCCAACCTATTCTGGAAGTGCTTAAGCAAAACCTGGTTAACAATTTGGCAGCTTTACTGAAAAGGGAAATCAAGGTAGTAGATTAGCTCAGATAACCTCTGAGAAGCCATCTAACTCTAAGAATCTAGGATTCCTTTCCCATCCTAGCCCTTACCAGCCAAGAATCAATAAAATATTAGTCAAATACTCGAGAATAGACACAAAATTCTCTTGAGGATGAATATTAATTGCACAATTTCAGAACACTGACAAGTCGGTAATCATCAGTCTTTTTTTTTAACTGTTAAGTTCAGGGGTACATGTGCAGGTTTGTCACATATTTAAACTTGTGTCATGGGGGTTTGCTGTACAGATTATTTCATCACCCAGGTATTAAACCTAGTACCCATCAGTTATATTTCCTGATCCTCTCCCTCCTCCCACCCTTCAACCCCTCTGTAGGCCCCAATGTGTGTTGTGTTCCTCTCTATGTGTCCATGTGTTCTCATCATTTAGTTCCCATTTGTAAATGAGAACATGTGGTATTTAGTTTTCTGTTCCTGTGTTAGGTTTTTTTTTGGTGGGGTGGTAATTTAGGATTTACTTTTGTAAAACCATGTAGACAAATATTAAATGTTATGCTTGCATTTTGAACATTATAAATATGAAACACAAAACATCCAATGTTAAATACTGATCTCCTATGCCTGATCTAGATTTAGATATTGAGTATTTCACATTTTACAGAAAGGAACTTTCAAAGTTGGATCAATACTTATAGTATGTACTATTATTCAATAAAATCTTCTTGAAATTTAAAAGGCTGAAATTTAGTTTTTTTTTCTTAAATATGCTAAAACGTATCAGTTTGGATTAACCTTCAGATTTTCAAGCCATGAAAGATATACAGGCTGGGCGTGGTGGCTCAAGCCTGTAATCCCAGCACTTTGGGAGGCTGAGGCAGGCAGATCACGACGTCAAGAGATAGAGACCATCCTAGCCAACGTCGTGAAACCCCATCTCTACTAAAAATACAAAAATTAGCCAGGCATGGTGGCATGTGCTGGTAGTCCCAGCTACTCGGGAGACTGAGGCAGGAGAATTGCTTGAACCCAAGAGGCAGGGGTTGCAGTGAGCTGACATCATGCCACTGCACTCCAGCCTGGCGACAGAGCAAGACTCCATCTCAAAAAAAAAAAAAAAAAAAATGCTCTAAGCAAGCATAAAGAGTATTTTGGGTCAAGTTACTTCTTTGTACAAATAATACATTGTATCAATCAATCTTTAAAAGAAATTCTTAAAAGCATTCAAAAATGCTTGCATTTTATAATTCTCAAACAATGTATTTATATTACAGAAGATACAACAAATTTTACATAAATAAAAAATCTCACACTATATTCTCAGTCCTAAAATAAAAAAGAACTTTGCAAATTAAAGAATTATCAATGTTGTTCAGAAAACATACCTTACTTTTACTTTGAAATTCACTTTAACTGCTTGACATATAATTTAATACTTAAAAATAATATAGCTAAATTATTTTATAATATTTATAGAATATTATTTCTCTGAGTAGACATGTTTCACACAACAGTTTCCAATTAATGCAGATAATTCATTTGATAATTTTAATCACAATTTATGATAGACTGATTAATGGATTAAAAATTTATTCAGTAATTTAGATGCCATAAGAACCATTGAAAGTAATAATCTGATAATTACTCATTGTACAATCCTGCCCATTAGTAATACTAAGCCAAGAATCTGATCGCTATCACATTCTGTTGAATTATGTTTCCATCTGTGTGATTGGTCAACAACAAAAAATAGATACACAATATCATGCTTTTTCCTTTTCCTTTTTTTTTTTAACAAGCAGCTCAATGATTTGGAGGGTTGGTTAATACAATACAGAGAATATAGGGAGAAAGTATAAAATGGCACCTAACACCAATGCCAGTACTTATCTCATTATGGTTATACCTAAGGATATTATTAATATTTGTGTTATTTGCTTTTCTTTAGAACTTAAATCAAAGCCATTAACTTGAACTTGAGGTATATACACAATACATATACAACCTTATGCAAAATACTTCCCATATGTAACATATTTTAAAATACTGGAAACTGAATATCTGTGCTGATTTGTATTTTGACTTAACGGACCAAGAAGAGAATAACACTCAACTAGGGAGGGTTATACTGATAATAAAGCTCTCAAAATTCAAAATGTCTTCCTCTCCCTTTGTACTTACCAGGGGCTACACAATGTCCTGAGAGGATTCATTATGAGAAAAATGTGATTCACAGCTTTAATAACTTACTTTGGAAAAAACTAATGAGAAAGCAGATTGGAAGGTGAGACTTCATCTTTGTTTTCAAATAAGTGGTCTTACTTTTTCTTCTCATAGAAAAAGTTTAAATCAGTTGATTATAAATATATCTAAATCTTTAATTGCTGCAGCTTTCAGGTAAAGTTTAGCACTTCATTTATACAAAGTCTATGAGAAGAGGTCAGTAGAGATAATCTAATCTTAAGTCGTGACATTAACCATTCAAGTCCTTGGCACAATCCCTCACCAGTTAGAGAACAGCATGCCTGGATATGCCACTGGTGATCTTTAATAGATGTTAGCTTCACAAACTGGGAGATTTCTGCTACAGTTATGCATTTTTTAACATCTTGTTTATTAGCAAAAATCAGTAACCCAGCTTTTCTTAGGTCCTCATGTGCTAACATTTTATAGAGTTCTCTAGTTACAGAAATCCTCTCTCTGTCTGTACTGTTCACAGCAACTATACAGACTCTGTGTTAGTATAGTAAGTGTTTCAGGAAGAACGAAGAGATTCTTGGCCACCAATATCCTCCATTAGGAAATGTATATTATTATGATTATGATTATTATTATTATTTGAGATACAGTCTTGCTTTGTCACCCAGGCTGGAGTGTACTGGCACGATCACAGCTCACTGCAACCTCCGCCTCCCAGGTTCAAGCAATTCTCCTGTCTCAGCCTCCCGAGTAGCTGGTATTACAGGTGCGTGCCACCATGCCCACCTAATTTTTGTATTTTTAGTAGAGACGGGCCTTCACCATGTTGGCTGGGCTGGTCTCAAACTCCTGACCTCAGGTGATCCACCCACCTCAGCCTCCCAAAGCGCTGGGATTACAGGCGTGAGCTACCAGCTGGAAACATGTATTATTAATCACTATCTCTTTTACATTACTTCCTATTGTAGGAGATGTATGTACAACTTCATTCACAGAAAACTGTTAAAGGATGGTAGTTTTCCCTGCACTATCCAGCCCAATAATGATACTTTTGTGCTCCTGGTGATTGAACAGTCTCCATATCCTGGTGAAGAGAATTCCCATTCTCGGGCAGTGGACCCTGCCTCCAGACACCCAGACCGCCTGGCCTCCCTGGCTCAGGCTAAGGGGGTGGCAGAGAGAGACACACTGGAGCCTCTGCCTCTGCAGCTGCTCCCGCCCTGGTTGCTGGCCCACTTCCAGAGAACCAGAGGGAGGCCAAAACCCAGGTCACCCTGCCACACGCGAGTCCCTGCTACTGCCACACACTCACCTGGCTCGTGGACATTGCCACCAAGTTGTCTGCAACGAGCCTCGCAAGCCACCGTCCTCCCCATTCATGTGTTAGTTTGCTAAGGATAATGGCCTCCAGCTCCATCCATGTCCCTGCAAAGGACATGATCTCATTCTTTTTATGGCTGCATTCCATGGTGTATATGTATGATGTTTTCTTTATCCAGTGTATCATTCATGGCCACTTAGGTTGATTCCATGTCTTTGCTATTGTGAATAGTGTTGCAATGAACATGTGCATGCATGTGTCTTCATAATAGAATGCTTTGTATTCCTTTGGGTATATACTCAGTAATGGGATTGCTGGGTTGAAAGGTATTTCTGTCTTTAGGTCTCTGAGGAATCGCCACACTGTTTTTCACAATGGTTGAACTATTTACACCCCCACAAACAGTGTATAAGTGTTCCGTTTTCTCCACAACCTCACCAGCATATGTTATTTTTTGACTTTTTAATAATCGTCATTCTAACTGGTGTGAGATGGTATCTCGTGGTTTTGATATGCGTTTCTCTAGTGATTGGTGATGTTGAGCTTTTCTTCACGACTGTCGGTTGCATGTATGTCTTCTTTTAAACATGGGCAAGGACTTCATGTCTAAAACACCAAAAGCAATGGCAACAAAAGACAAAATTGACAAATGGGATCTAATTAAACTCAAGAGCTTCTGCACAGCAAAAGAAACTACCATCAGAGCGAACAGCCAACCTACAGAATGGGAGAAAATTTTTGCAATCTACTCATCTGACAAAGGGCTAATATCCAGAATCTACAATGAACTCAAACAAATTTACAAGAAAAAAACAACCCCATCAAAAAGTGGGCGAAGGATATGAACAGATGCTTCTCAAAAGAAGACATTTATGCAGCCAAAAGACACATGAAAAAAGGCTCATCATCACTGGCCATCAGAGAAATGCAAATCAAAACCACAATGAGATACCATCTCACACCAGTTAGAATGGCAATCATTAAAAAGTCAGGAAACAACAGGTGCTGGAGAGGATGTGGAGAAATAGGAACACTTTTACACTGTTGGTGGGACTGTCAACTAGTTCAACCATTGTGGAAGTCAGTGTGGCGATTCCTCAGGGATCTAGAACTAGAAATACCATTTGACCCAGCCATCCCATTACTGGGTATATATCCAAAGGATTATAAATCATGCTGCTATAAAGACACATGCACACGTATGTTTATTGTGGCACTATTCACAACAGAAAAGACTTGGAACGAAACCAAATGTCCAACAATGATAGACTGGATTAAGAAAATGTGGCACATATACACCATGGAATACTATGCAGCCATAAAAAATAATGAGTTCGTGTCCTTTGTAGGGACATGGATGAAGCTGGAAACCATCATTCTCAGCAAACTATCACAAGGACAAAAAACCAAACACTGCATGTTCTCACTCATAGGTGGGAATTGAACAATGAGAACACATGGACACAGGAAGGGGAACATCAAACACCGGGGCCTGTTGTGGGGTGGGGGGAGAGGGGAGGGATAGCATTAGGAGATATACCTAATGTTAAAGGACGAGTTAATGGGTGCAGCACACCAACATGGCACATGTATACATATGTAACTAACCTGCACGTTGTGCACATGTACCCTAAAACTTAAAGTATAATTAAAATAAATAAATAGATAAAAACTAAAAAAAAAGTTTCTGTTCACTTCCTTTGCCCACTTTTTTATGGGCTTGTTTTTTTCCTATAAATTTGCTTAAGTTCCTTGTAGATGCTGGATAGTTGACCTTTGTTGGATGCATAGTTTGCAAAAATGTTCTACCATTCTGTAGGCTATTTACTCTGTTAATAGTTTCTTTTGCTGTGCAGAAGCTCTTTAGTTTAATCAGATCCCATTTGTCAATTTTTGCTTTAGTTGCAATTGCTTTTGGCATCTTCATCATGAAATCTTTGCCTGTGCCTATGTCCCAAATTGTATTGTCTAGGTTGCCTTCCAGGGATTTTAAAGTTTTGAGTGTTGCATTTAAGCCTTTAATCCATCTTAATTTTTATATATGGTATAAGGAAAGGTTCCAGTTTTAATCTTCTGCATATTGCTAGTCATTTATCCCAGCACCATTTATTGAATAGGGAATCCTTTCCCCATTGCTTATTTTTATCAGGTTTGTCGAAGATCAGACAGTTGTAGGTGTGTGGTCTTATTTCCAAGTTCTGTATTTGGTTCTACTGGTCTATGTGTCTGTTTTTGTACCAGTACCATGATGTTTTGGTTACTGTAGTCCTGTGGTATAGTTTGAAGTCAGGTAGTCCTTCAGCCTTGTTCTTTCTGCTTAGGGTTGCCTTGGGTATTCAGGCTCTTTTTTGGTTCCATATGAATTTTAAAATAGTTTTTTTTTCTAGTTCTGTGAACAATGTCAATGGTAGTTTAATAGGCATAACACTGAATCTATAAATTGCTTTCGGCAATATGGCCATTTTAACCATATTGATTCTTCCTATCCATGAGCATGGAATCTTTTTCCATTTGTTTGTGTCATCTCTGATTTCTTTGAGCAGTGGTTTGTAGTTCTCCTTATAGAGATTTTTACCTCCCTAGTTAGCTGCATTCTTAGGTATTTTGTGTGTGTGTGTGTGGCAATTGCGAATGTGAGTTCATTCCTGACTTGGCTCTCAGCTTGACTGTTATTGATGTAGGAATGCTAGTGATTTTTGCATATTTATTTTGTATCCTGGGACTTTGCTGAAGTTGTTTATCTTCTTAAGAAGCTTTTGGGCTGAGACTGGAAATTTCTAGATATAGAATCATGTCATCTTTAAACAAGGATAGTTTGACTTCCTCTCTTCCTATTTGCATGCCTTTTATTTCTTTTTCTTGCCTGATTGTCCTGGCCAGAACTTTCAATACTATATTGAGTAGGAGTGGTGAGAGAGACTATCCTGTCTTGTGCCAGTTTTCAAGTGGAATGCTTCTAGATTTTGCCCATTCAGTATGATGATGGCTATGGGTTTGTCACACATAGCTCTTATTATTTTGAGGTATGTTCCTTCGATACCTAGTTTATTGAGTTTTTAACATGAATGGATGTTGAATTGTATGGAAATCCTTTTCTGCATCTATTGAGATAATCATGTGGTTTTGTCTTCAGTTCTGTTTATGTGGTGAGTCATGTTTATTGATTTGTGTATGTTGCACCAACCTTGCATCCCAGGGATGAAGCCTACTATCAAGTGGTGAATAAGCTTTTTGATATGCTGCTGAATTCGGTTTGCCAGTATTTTGTTGAGGATTTTTGCATCAATGTTCATCAAGGATATTGCCCTTAAGTTGTCTTTTTTTGTTGGATCTCTGCCAGGTTTTGGTATTAGGATGATGCCGGCCTTATAGAATGAGTTAGGGAGGAGTCCCTCCTCCTCAATTTTTTGAAATAGTTTCTGTAGAATTAGTACCAGTTCTTCTTTGTATGTCTGGTAGAAATCGGCTGTGAATCTGTCTACTCCTGAGCTTTTTTTGGTTGATAGCCTATTTATTACTACCTCAATTTCAAAGCCTGTTACTTGACGTGGCTACCATTAGGAGTTGGGACTCTTTACTCCTAAGAATAATGCTCTTTCTTCAAAAGAATATTACTTTTCCTTATGTTGACATTTTTAAAGTGACTCTGATATATGCTTTCAATACACATTTTTGAACACCTACTTCATGCCAGGCACCATGCTTAGGCACTGTCCTGAAATAAAGATACTCTGACATGATATGGAAGGAAGCTTCTTGAAGCCTCTTTAACCTTAAAAACTTTTACTACCCTAGCAGAGGAGGGTTTAGTAATAATAAAGAGGAAAAGTAAAAGCAATATGTACCTACTTAAGAGCTTCCCTGTCTCTGAATAGCTCCTTACCACCTAACAGTTCATGAAACCTCATCAGTAGGAATCTGTTCCCTTGATTCTTGAAGATTTTGTTAGAAGACTTCTATTACAAAGCAAATATCCCCTGGGAAGAGAAATAACTTAAAACTCTAGCAGCTTAATCACTTCCCCACTTTGGACTTCAGCTTACCCACCTATAAAATAAGGGGTTTTGACCACATGATCTTTGTGGTCTCCTCTAGTATGAAAATCTAGACTTACTAGGCCTAAAGGCCAGGGAATGGGAGTAGTTTACGGCTGGGTTTTCAAGGCTGCCTAGAAAGAGCAGTTGGAATTACAAGCAGCCTCAAGTATTCTCTCCCAATCCTGAAGTTATAGGGAAAGATTTAAACATGCTTCCAAGCCTCATGGGCAAATCACTCCCTTAGAGCTGTTGGACAACCTTTGGCTAATAAAGATTAAACAAATAAATATGAAATATGGTTCTATCCAGCATCCTGAGAGGCCAATTTGCTGTTAATGGTAGTGTTTAGGCCCTAAAAGGGTATTAACTTACAGAGTAGTAAAGTTTCCAAACACAGCCCAGAGCTTTAAAAGATGTACAGGTGCCAAAATTAAGGGCCAAATTACCAATCTGTTTTAAATGATGGTCTGGGAATGCTCAATATGACAAGGAAAATGTATGACAAATAATATCTTCAATACAAAGAAAAAGTTGCTTGAATTTATTAAAGGAAATGGACTACCTCTTGGGACTCCTTTTTTGCCCACTCCTCAAAGAGGTGATTTTTCAAAATCGACTCGAAGACACAGCTAATGCAAAATGACCCTTTAAGCATAAAGTAAGCTCATTTTTAACTAAAACAGTTTTCATGTCAGCATTTGCCTAAAGCTTTGGGAATTTAGAAATTTCAAAGAAATGCACATTCCATTAGTATCAAAACTAGGTGCTTCCATGATGTACTAAATGCATACTCAACATATGCAAAAGCTTTAAGCCAGAGTAAAGCCGGCTGCGTTTCTACTCATTGACAAGTTTAAAGAATTCATTGGCAGCCCTGCTGGATGACAGCAGAATGACTTCCTGTCAAGTAACCTCCATCCTCCAAGGTGACAGGAAATGGGCTTAAACACTGGTAATATCACTAATCAATGTAAGGAAGCACATGTTCCCAGCCTGCAATTGTGAAGTTTGGTTGCAATGTGTTAGCTGCTTGCTGGGCCATGTGATTCAGCATAACGACAGATGAAAGGAAAGGTCAGATTTACTAAGTGTTGAAGAGGTGTCATCAAGTGTTGCATATTACTTCAAGATGTCCTCTGCATCAGAGGCATCTCACTATATGGGAGTTAATTTCTCCTGCAGAATTCTTTAGTTTCCCTACAACCCTTTATGGAAGCCCCCAAATTTATTTCAACACATGAAGAATTGGACTTTCTCTTATTTCTGATTGACACTAAATAGTCCAAGGTAATGGTCTTACCTTTATATGATTCTACCTTGGTTTTTAAGATAAGTACATACATGTATATACCTTCAGGCTTTGCCAAATACACTCTTGTAGAGTCAAAATAGCCAGATTTTCCTCAAAAGTTCATTCTAGTGCTTCCAGTTTCTTCAGGTGGTTTTCCCCCTCTCAAATACAACGGCAGGTGTATTCCTTTTCAAAGAAGCACTATTTAGTTTTTTGTTGTTTTTTTTTTTGAGATGGAGTCTCACTCTGTCCCCCAGGCTGGAGTGCAGTGGTGCAATCTTGGCTCACTGCAACCTCTGCCCCCCAGATTCAAGCAATTCTCTCCCCCGTCAGCTTCCCTAGTAGCTGAGATTACGGGCATGCACCACCATGCCTGGCTAATTTTTGTATTTTTAGTAGAGATGGGGTTTCACCATGCTGGCCAGGCTGGTCTCAAACTCCTGACCTCAAGTCATCTGCCCACCTCAGCCTCCCAAAGTGCTGGGATTACAGGTGTGAGCCACCGCACCGAGCCTATTCAGTTTTATACTAAAGAGGATGTGAGGAAACATAACTTTCCCTTTATTTATATAATAGGAAGGGACCTTCAGGATCCTCTCCCAGAGCTCATTCCTATCAGATTCATTTCTTCAGTCATAAATTTTTCATAATTACTTATTGAGCACTTACTCTACATCAGGCATTATACTAGTGGTTACAATACCAAATAGAACCAGACGTAGTCTCTGATCTGGAGATATTTAATTAAATAATCAAATAGGTAATTATTGAAATAAATATATAATTCATAAACTACTTATAATTATTAAATAAATTAAATAACTATTCAACGAATGTATAGTTGTTAACTGGAGATGAGTAAACAGACATAGAAAGGTGAAGTGACTTTCTAAGGTCCCATCATAAGTCTGTTATGGAATACTGGTCTCCTGGCTCCCAGCCCAGTTCTCTTTTACTCTGTATCCTAGTGCATTTCAGTGTGCTTTCCCTGGACTGAAAGATGATCTGACATTCCCTTTCCAAGGCAGTCTCATAGCAGCTTCTCCAGAGCAGGACTTTCCAAGTTTTTTACCTCCTTTTGCAAGTTTAAAATGCTTTGCTCTTTGCTGAGGTTTACCTGAGGGAAGGGCAGTGTGTATGCAAGTGTATGTGTTGAGGGAGGGTGGTGAATGTCATAATGGAGGTCTTCTAAACTTTTGTGAAGAACACACAAGACTATGCTAGTACAAGAAATACAGCAGTGTCCACCTAGCCTTTCATGATCCCTACCCACAGTGAAAAAGAGATGTACCTGGGGACAGGTGAAGGGAGACATTCTAGGTGATTTTCTAAAATCACCACCAGCTTTTTCATAAATACTACCTGAAAATGGTGAGCCGGCCAACTTACAGGGCCAGGGAACACACAGGCCATGGATATGTTCTGGAAAACTATGGCAGAGGATGATATTTATTGGTTACGAGAGTAGAGACAGGGCTTTCTGAAGCATTATCTCCAAAGTTAAAGTAGCAGGACAAGATGGTCCATTTATTCCTTTCCAGGTCTTGGAAGACACAGCAGTAAAGAACTCGAAATTATCTGATCCCTCCATTAAAAGCTTTACAGTTTACACACCTGTCTCCATAGGAGAGAAGCATGCTGTCTTTAACACTCAACCTACAAACTAGGTCCCTAATCAATATTTACTTAATGCATAAATGGTGTGGACAATGGCATCAATCTGCACTTATAAACATTAATAATAAGAGTTTATTGAGCACTTAGTATGTAAGAGATACTATGTGAAGGGTGTGAATGCATTATTAACCCTAATAACACTGTAAAACAGCTAAAATTATTACTCTTATTTCATAGATGAGAAAAAAAGAGATCAGCAAGGTTAAATAATTCATCCAAGGTTACTCATCTTATAAAAGACCAGAGCCGGGATTTAAATATAAATCTGATTCACTTCAAAGCTCATGTTCCTGGTCACCATATTTATTGCCTGCTTGATGGTTTAGGCAAGACAAGATATAGAGCGTCTCGCTAAGGGTCCTACTCTAAATTAATTATGACACAACAGCAAATAAGAAAAAAAAAATACATAAATGTAATACATAAAAAGAGAAGACAAAGTAAGGTGTTTTAAGGATTGATTAATTGAGTAGCTTAGTGGTATAATGCAAGTCCTTTCCAATTTCTTCTCTGATGTCCTTAGAACATTGGCTTTTGTCCTCAGGCTTGTGCCTTAATAATAGCAAGATGGCTACAGCAGCTGCAGACATCACCTCCTCACACAGTTATATATGAAGGAAGAACACCAAGTTAATGACTATCTACACCAAAAAAAAAAAAAAACCCCAACACCTTCATGAGAACCAAAAATCAGGGAGGCACTCATTGTACCTGTTTTTTTATTATTATTATTATACTTTAAGTTTTAGGGTACATGTGCACAACATGCAGGTTTGTTACATATGTATACATGTGCCATGTTGGTGTGCTGCACCCATTAACTCGTCATTTACATTAGGTATATCTCCTAATGCTATCCCTCCCCCCTCCCCCCACCCCACAACCTGGTTTTAACTTAATATCACTGAAAGAGGCACTGAAGAGATAGAAAATACAGCCTGAATCTCTGACACCACCCCTTCTCTGCCTACCAGCAGTGGCAGCTTGGTGCAGAGAGTTTCTCTGGGCACTAGGGGAGGAAGAACACAGAAATTCTGAGAAATTGAACTCAGTGCCATCCTGATAAAGAAGAAAAGAAAACTGGACCAAACTCAGCTGATGCCCACCCACGGAGGGAGCATTTAAACTAGACCTAGCCAGAAGGGAATCACCAATCCCAGCTGTCTGAACTTGAGTGCCTGCAAACCTTGCCAGGGAGGGCTACAGCACTCTGTGTCTCCAAATAAACTTGAAAGGCAGTCTAGGCCATAAGGACTGCAACTCTTAGGCAAATCCTAGTGTTAAACTAGGCCCAGACACAGTGGACTGAGGGGGCATGTGACATACTGAGACACAAGCTGGAGAAGACAAGGAAGTGCTTGCACGACTCTTCCCCTAACCCCAGGCTGCACAGCTCAAGGCTCCGTAAGAGATCCCTTCCTTCCACTTGAGGAGAAAAGAAAGAGTAGGGAAGACTTTGTCTTGCATCTTGGATACCTGCTCAGCCACAGCAGGATAGGCACTGATCAGAGTCATGAGGTCCACGTTTCAGGCCCTACTTCCAGATGACATTTCTAGACACATTCTGGGCCAGTAGAGATTCCCCTGCCTTGAAGAAAAATACCCAGCCCTGGCAGCATTCATTACCTGCTAACTGAAGAGCCTTTGGGCCCTGAATAACTAGCAGCGATAGCCAGGTACTATAATCAAGGGCCTTGGGTGAGCCTCTGAGACTTGCTGGCTTCAGGTAAGATGTACCACATTACCACCTGTGCTGGCTACAAGGTAAAACACCCTCTGCTTGAGAAAAACAGAGGGAAAAGTAAAGGCGGCTTTGTCTTGCACCTTAGGTACCAGCACAACCACAGTGGGATAGAGCACTAAGTGGGCTCTTGGGGTCCCTGATTCCAGGACTTGACTCTTGGCCATTTCTGGACCTGCCTTAGGCTAGAGGAGAAACTAATGCCCTGAAGGGTGAGTCCTGGGCCAGGCAGCATTCACCACATACTGACTTAAGAGCCCGTGGGTCTTAAGGGAACATCAGCAAAAGTCTGGCAGTATTCCTTGTGGCCTGGGGTGGCGGTGGCTATGGGGTGAGGCTCCTCTGTCTTTGGAAATGGGAGGAAAGAGTGGGAAGAACTGCATCTTGTAGTCTGAGTGCCATGTCAGCCACAGTACAATAGAACACTAGGTAGACTTCTAAGGTTTTTGACTCTAGTCCCTAACTCCAGGATGGCACTTCTGGACCTAGCTGGGACTGGGGGACATCACCGACCTGAAAAGAAGAATACAGGCCTGGCTGACATTGCCACTTGCTGATTGTAGAGCTCCAGGGCCCTTGCATGAACATAGGAGTAGCCAGGGAGTGGATATAACAGGCTTTGGGCAAGACTCAGTGCTATGCTGGCTTCAGGACTGACCCAGCACAGTCATAGTAATGGTGGCAACAGAGGTGCTTGTGTCACTCCAGCTCCAGCTTTATGTTGCTCAGAACAGAGAGAGAGACTCTGAGAGAAAATAAGGGAAAAGAACAAGAGTCTCTGCCTGATAATCCAGTGAATTCTTCAAGATCTAGTCTAAGACCATGAAGGCAGTTCCTCTATGAGTCAACAAGAACCACAGTGTTACTGGGTTTGGGGTGCCCCCAAAAGCAGATACAGCTTAGATCACAACACCCAAGTCCTTTCAAATATCTGGAAAGCCTTCCCAAGAAGGACAGCTACAAATAAGTCCAGATAGTGAAGAACACAATAAATAACTAACTCTTCACTGTGCACACACCAAAGAACATCTATAAGCATCAACACCACCCAGGAAGACATGACCTCACCAAATAAACTAAATAAGGTGCTGCTGACCAATTCTGGAGAAACAGAGATATGTGATCTTTCAGAAAGAGAATTCAAAATCGCTGTGTGAGGAAACTCAAAGAAATTCAAGATAACCCAGAGAAGGAATTCAGAATTCTATCAGATACATTTAACAAAGAGATTGAAATAATTAAAAACAACTAAGAAGAAATTCTGGAGCTGAAAAATGCAATTGGTATACTGAAGAATGCATCAGAGTCCTTTAATAGCAGAACTGATCAAGCATAAGAAATAGCTTGAAGACAGGCTATTTAAAAATACACAGAGGAGACAAAAGAAAAAGGAATAAAAAACAATGAAGCACACCTACAAGATCTAGATAGGTTATAAAATCGTATTTGCAACCCTCGGGGTATCCTCAAACCAAAAAACATGCAATGGATGCACAAATAATAAAATAAAATATAGCCTCAAAAGGGCAAAACTAAGAGTTATTGGCCTTAAAGAGGAAGCAGAGAAGTGATAGGGGTAGGAAGTTTACTCAAAGGGATAATAACACAGAACTTCCCAAGCCTAGAAAAAGATATCAATATCCAAGTACAAAAAGGTTATAGAACACCAAGCAGATTTAACCCAAAGAAGACTACCTCAAGGCATTTAATAATCAAACTCCCAAAGGTCAAGGATAAAGAAGGGACCCTAAAAGCAGCAAGAAAAAAGAAACAAATAATATACGACATGTCTAATAGCAGGCTTTTCAGTGGAAACCTTACAGGCCAGAAGAGAATGGCAAGACATATTTAAAGTGCTGAAGAAAATAAACATTTACCCTAGAATAAATATTATGTCTAGTAATGTATCCTTGAAACACGAAGGAGAGATAAAGACTTTCCCACACAAACAAAAGCTGAGGGATTTCACCAATGCCAGGCCTATCCTACAAGAAATGCTAAAGGAAGTTCTTCAATCAGAAAGAAAAGGACATTAATGAGCAATAAATAATCACAGAAAGCAATAAATAATCACTGATAATAGTAAGTACACAGAAAAACACAGAATATTATAACATGGTAACTGTAGTGTGTAAACTCCTCTTATCCTAAGTAGAAAAACTAAACAATGAACCAATAAAAAATAATAACTACAACAACTTTTCAAGACATAGTACAATAAGACATAAATAGAAACAACAAAAAGCTAAGAAGCAGAGAGATGAAGTTAAGGTGTAGAGTTTTTATTGGTTTTCTTTTTGCTCCTTTGTTTGTTTATGCAAATAGTGTTAAGGTAGGAATGTTAATTAGGTCAACCATTGTGCAAAGCAGTGTGACAATTCCTCAAAGAGCTAAAAGCAGAACTATCATTCAATCCAGCAATCCCATTACTGGGTATATACCCAGAGGAATATGAATCATTCTACCATAAACACACATGCATGCAAATGTTCATTGCAGCATTATTCACAATAGCAAGGACATGGAATCAACCTAAATGCCCATCAATGACAGATTGAATAAAGAAAATGTGGTACATATACACCATGGAATACTACACAGCCATAAAAAAAGAACAAGATCATGTATTTTGCAGGAACATGGATAGAGCTGGAGGCTACAATCCCTAGCAAACTAACACAGGAACAAAAAACTGAATACCACATGTTCTCACTTATAAGTGGGAGCTAAATTATAAGAATTTATGAACACAAAGAAGGAAACAACAGACACTGGGTATACCTGAGTGGGGAGGGTAGGAAGAGGGAGAGGAGAGAGGAGCAGAAAAGATAACTGTTGTGTACTGGGCTTAATACCTGGGTGATGAAATAACATTGGGTGATGAAATAATATGTACAAAAAACCCTTGTGACATGTATTTACCTATGTAACAAACCTTCACATGTAGCCCCAAACCTAAAAGAAAAGTTAAAAAAAAATTATCAGGTTAAAATAATAGGTTATAAAATAGTATTTGCAAGCCTCAGGTTACCCTCAAACCAAAAAACGTACAATGGATACAAAATAATAAAAAGCAAGAAACTAAATCATGTGAGCGGAGAAAATTGCCTTCACTAGAGGAACACAGGAAGGAAAAAAAAGAAGGAAGAGAACACCACAAAACAACCAGAAAACACATAACAAAATGGCAGGAGTAAGTTCTTATTTATCAATAATAATATTTAATGTAAATGAACTAACCTCTCCAATCAAAAAAACATACACTGGCTGAATGGATGAGAAAATAAGAACCATTGATCTGCTGCCTACAAGAAACACACCTCACCTATGAACACACAAATTGACTAAAAATAAAGGGATGGAAAAAGATATTCCATGCCAGTGGAAACCAATAAAAAGCAGGAGTCACTATACTTTATCAGACAGATGTCAGGAGAAAAACTATCAGAGACAAATAAAGTACTATATAATGATTAAGGGGTCAATTTAGCAAGAGAACATAAAAATTTTAAATATATATGCACCCAACACTGGAGCACCTAGATATATAAGTACAAAAAGGTTAATATTAGAGGTAAAGGGAGAGAGAGTCCTCAATACAATAATAGCTGGAAACTTCGACACCACACTTTCAGCATTGGACAGATATTCCAGACAGAAAATCCATAAAGAAACATCAGAACTAATCTGCACTACAGATCAAATGGATCTGAGATATTTACAGAACATTTTATTCAACAGCTGCAGAATACGCATTATTTTCCTCAGCACATGGATAATTCACAAGGATAAACCATAGGTTAGGTCACAAAACAAGTCTTAAAACATTCAGAAAATTGAAATAGTATCAAGTATCTTCCCTGACCACAATAGAATAAAACTAGAAATTAAGGAGAAGAATAATTTTGGAAACTGTATAAATACATGGAAATTAAACAATATGCTCCTGAATGATCAATGGGTCAGTAAAGAAATTAAGAATAAAATTTAAAATTTTCTTGAAAACAAATGATAATGAAAACACAAAATACCAAAACCTGTGGGATACAGCAAAGGAAGTACTATGGGAATTTTATGGCTATAAGTGCTTACATCACACAAGAAAAAAACTTCAAATGAAAAATCTAATAATGCATCTTAAGTATCTAGAAAAGCAAGAACAAACTAAACCCAAAAATAGTAGAAGAAAATAAATAATAAAGATCAAAGCAGAAATAAATGAAATTGAAATGAAAAAATATACAAAAGATCAATGAAACCAAAAGTTGTTTTTTTGAAAAGTTAAACAAAATTGACAAACCTTTAGTCAGACTGACAAAAAAGGAGAGAAGATCCAAATAAAGAAAATCAGAAATAAAAAAAAAAAAGACATTACAAGTGATACTGCAGAAATCCAAAGGATCATTAGTGGCTACTATGAGTAACTATATACCAATAAATTGGAAAATCTAGAACTGGACAAATTCCTAGACACAACCTACCAAGACTGAATCAAGAAGAAATCCAAAACTTGAACAGACCAACAACAAATAACAAGATCAAAGTTGTAATAAAAAGTTTCCCACTAAAGAAAAGCCTGGGGCCTGATGGCTTCACTGATGAATTCTACAAAACATTTAAGGAAGAATTAAAACCAATCCTATTCAAACTATTCTGAAAAATAGGAAAGGAAGGAATACTTCAAAACTCATTCTATGAGGCCAGGATTACCCTGATAACAAAATCAGACAAAGACACATGACAAACACCACCACCACCACTACCACCACCACCACCACCACCACCACCACCACCACCACTACGGGCCAATATCTCTGATGAATACTGATGCAAAAATCTTCAACAAAATACTAGTAAACCAAACTCAACAATACATCAGAAAGATCATTCATCATGATCAAGTGGAATTTATCCCTGGGATGCAAGGATGTTTCAACATATGCAAATCATCCAATATGATACATCATATCAACAAAATGAAGGATAAAAACCACATGATCATTTCAATTGATGTTGAAAATTAATTGAAAATTTACCATCCCTTCATAATACAAACCCTCAAAAAACTGGGGAAGGAACATACCTCAATGTAATAAAAGCCACATACACCAGACCCACAGCTAGTATCATACTGAACAAGAAAAGACTGAAAGCCTTTCCTCTAAGATTTGGAACATGACAATGATAACCACTGTCACCACTGTTATTAAACATAGTACTGGAAGTCCTAGCTAGAGCAACCAGACAAAGATGTAAAGGGCAGTCAAATTGGAAAGGAAGAAGTCAAGTTATATTTGTTTGCAGAGGACATGATCTTATATTTGGAAAAAACTAAAGACTCCACTAAAATATATTATTGGAACTAATAAATTCAGTATGGTTGCAGGACACAAAATCAACATACAAAAATGAGTAGTATTTTCTATATGTCAACAGTGAAAAATGGGAAAAAGAAATTTAAAAAGTAATCCCATTTACAATAGCCACAAATAAATACCTAGGAATTAACCAAAGAAGTGAAAGATAAATGTAATAAAAATTACAAAACACTGATGAAAGAAATTGAAGAGGTCATCAAAGAATGGAAAAATATTCCATATTTATGGATCAGAAGAATCAATATTGTTAAAATGTTCATACTGCCCAAAGCAATTTATAGATTCTATGCAATCCCTATCACAATACCAATGACATTCTTCACAGAAATAGAAAAAACAATCCTAAAATGTATATAGAACCACAAAAGACCTACAATAGGCAAAGCTATCCTAAGCAAAAAGAATAAAATTGGAGAAATCACATTACCTGACTGCAAATTATACTACAGTGATACAGTAACCAAAACAGCAATATACTATCATTAAAAACAGACGCATAGATCAATGGAACAGAATGGAGAACCCAGAAACAATCTACATACCTACAGTGAACTCATTTTTGACAAAAGTGCCAAGAACATACACTGGGGGAAAGACGGTCTCTTCAATAAATGGTGCTGAGAAAAGTGAATGTCCATATGCAGAAAAAGGAAACTAGGTCCTTCTCACCATATATAAAAATCAAATCAAAATGGATTAAAGACTTAAATCTAAGACCTCAAACTATTAAACTACTACAAGAAAAGATAGGGGAAAATCTCTAGCACATTGGTCTGGGCAAAGATTTCTTGAGCAATACCTTACAAGTATAGGCAACCAAAGAAGAAACGGACAAATGGGATCACATCAAGTTAAAAAGATTCTGCACAGCAAAGGATACAATCAATAAAGTGAAGAGACAAACAACAGAATGGGAGACAATATTTGCAAACTATCCATCTGACAAGAGATTATAACCAGAAGATATAAGGAGCTCAAACAACTCTATAGGAAAAATATAATAATCCATGCAGGGACCAGCCCCACAGGGTCGGTGGGTCTCTCCCCATGTGCGGTGACGAGAGAGTGTAGAAATAAAGACTCAAGACAAAGAGATAAAAGAAAAGCCAGCTGGGCCCGGGGGACCACTACCACCAATGCGCAGAGACCGGTAGTGGCCCCAAATGTCTGGCTGCGCTGTTATTTATTGGATACAAAGCAAAAGGGGCAGGGTAAAGAGTGTGAGTCATCTCCAATGATAGGTAAGGTCACGTGGGTCACGTGTCCACTGGACAGGGGGCCCTTCCCTGCCTTGCAGCCAAGGCAGAGAGAGAGAGGAGACAAAGAGAAAGACAGCTTACACCATTATTTCAGCATATCAGAGACTTTTAGTACTTTCACTAATTTTCTGCTGCTATCTAGAAGGCAGAGCCAGGTGTACAGGATGGAACATGAAGGCGGACTAGGAGTGTGACCGTTGAAGCACAGCATCACAGGGAGACGGTTAGGCCTCCGGATAACTGCGGGCAAGCCTGACTAATATCAGGCCCTCCACAAGAGGTGGAGGAGCAGAGTCTTCTCTAAACTCCCCCGGGGGAAAAGGAGACTCCCTTTCCCAGTCTGCTAAGTAGCGGATGTTGTTCCTTGACACTTTTCGCTACCACTAGACCACGGTCTGCCTGGCAACGGGCATCTTCCCAGACACTGGTGTCACCGCTAGACCAAGGAGCCCTTCTGGTGGCCCTGTCTGGGCATAACAGAAGGCTCGCACTCTTGTCTTCTGGTCACTTCTCACTGCATCCCCTCAGCTCCTATCTCTGTATGGCCTGGTTTTTCCTAGGTTATGATTATAGAGCGAGGATTATTATAATATTGGGATAAAGAGTAATTACTACCAACTAATGATTAATGATATTCGCATATAATCGTATCTAAGATCTATATCTGGTATAACTATTCTTGTTTTATATTTTATTATACTGGAACAGCTCATGTCCTTGGTCTCTTGCCTCGGCACCTGGGTGGCTTGCTGCCCACAAATCCAATCAAAAATGGGCAAAATATTTGAACAGACATTTCTGAAAAGAAGATATACAAATGGCATACAGGCATATGAAAAAGTGCTCAACATAATTGATCATCAGAGAAATACAAATGAAAACTACAATGAGATATAATCTCGCCCCAGTCAAAATGGCTTTTAGCCATAAGGCAATAACACATGCTGATAAGAATGCAGAGAAAAGGGAAACCTTGTACCCTATTGGTGGAAATGTAAGTTAGTACAACCACTAAGCAGAACAGTTTGGAGGTTCCTCAAAAAACTAAAAATAGAGCTATCATACAATCCGGCAATCCCACTGCTGGCTATATACCCCAAAGAAAAAAAATCAGTGTATCAAAGAGTCATCTGCACTCCCAAGTTTGTTGCAGTACTATTCACAATAGCCAAGATTTGGAAGCAACCTAAGTGATGAATGGATAAAGAAAATGTAGTACATATATATACAATGGAGTACCATTCAGCTATAAAAAGACTGAGATCTAGTCATCTGCAATAACACGGATGAAATGAAGATCATTATGTTAAGTGAAATAAGACAGGCACAGAAGACAAACATCGCATGTTCTCACTTATTTGTGGAATCCAAAAATCAAAACAATTGGACTTAATGGACAGAGAGAGTAGAAAGATGGTTACCAGAGGCTGAAAAGAGTAGTGAGGTGGTGAGGGCAGGAAGAAGGAGGAAATGGTTAATGGGTCCAAAATAAATAGAAAGAATAAACAAACCCTAGTATGTGATAGCACAACAGGTTTCTATAGTCAATAGTAATTCAACTGTACATTTTAAAATAACTAAGAGTATAATAGGATTGTTTGTAACACAAAGGCTGAATGCTTGAGGGGACGGATACCACATTCTCCAAGATGTGCTTATTTCACCTTGCATGCCATACCAAAACATCTCATGTACCCCAAAAATACATATACCTACCATGTACCCACAAAATTTAAAATTAAAAAAATGTTTAATGTGAAGAATTTTCTATGTGGGGTACCATGTCCATAGTCTTAGTTTTTCTACTCTAATATTAATCTCATATAACCCTATGCATTATCCCCTGAAACTAAAATTTTTACTAGGTCCTAGAGGAATGAAAAGAATCAGAAATTCCCTATCTCAAGGAGTTAGTGAATACTCAAATTTCCATAATACACAGCACAGTCCTCTCTATGAGATAGACACATTTCTTCCTATTCAGAGGGAATAAGAAAACATTTCATATAAGGGATAGAATTTGAGCCTGGATTTTTAAAATGCTTGAACTTTCAGTACACTAAAATGGAGGTATGATTGGAGAGAATTCTAAGTAGTGGGAGGAATTCAAAGTTGAGTAAAGGAAAAGATACAACTAGTTATGGGAAACAGAAAACAACCAGTTTTGATAATATTTGGGTTATCTACAGTGTAATATTGGAAGACACAGCAGGAAAGACTGTGAAAGTCCTCAACCACATTGATAAACAGTTAAGTCAGTAAGTCCATCTCTAAGGTAAATGTGAAATATTAGCAATCAAAAAGGAACTGGCTCAGCACTTTTTACGTTTATATAGAAAATACCAGCCAAGTTCAAATATGGCAAGCTATTAGGGATTTTTGTTCCTGGGATTTCTGCTACCTTATTAAGCATGAGAGAAATCCCAACATTCACAAAATATGCATGAATCAACCTAGGCTTTTAGTTTTAGTTTGAATGTCTACATCAATCACACCACATATATCTCGCTTAAATATAAGCACAATAATCTCAATCTCCACTTGCCACATCATAAATATGACATTGAAAGGCGTTTTTTACAGATCCTGCTGAATGTTTGGAGGACATCAGTAAGAAGGTGAGAAACAGCTGTTGTATCTAGATTCAGCAGACACACATTTGCACATAGGGCAATATTTAGAAAATGTCTTCAATTGGCAATTACTTCCTGAGATCATGATGTCCCCTCTGTTCACCCACTGCTTAAAGAAGGGGTGGAAAGAAAAAAAATCGTCAAATAAGAAACTATGAGTACATGAAAATCAGAAAATCATACCATCATCCAATCATTAAAAATCAATAATCTTCAACACGAATTCCATGAAACACTAAGGATTCCACTGAAGTAACCCAGGATCCCCACTTACTCCCTGCCCCATCCCTTTCAAACCCATGTTATCTATTTTAATATTTATTTATGCCTCTGCTTTTATAATTTTTTTAAAACCTATAGCGGATGAACATATTGATGTAGAAAAATTATCTTGACACTTGTTTCAGTTTTCTATTGCTGCTATAACAAATTACCACAAACTTCATGGCTTAAACAATACAAACTGGTCTTATATAAATGGAAAAGTATGAAATGGATTTCAGTGGGCTAAAATCAAGGTATTGGGAAGGCTGCATTCCATTCTGGAAGCTCTAAGGGAGAGTCTATTTCTTTTCCTTTTCCAGTGTCTAGAAGCTGTCCACACTCCTTGGCTCATAAGCCACTTCCTCCATCCTCAAAGCCAGCAACAAGTCAAGTCCTTCTCATATCACATCTAATCTCTCACATTTGCTCTTCTGCCTAGGTCCTCCACTTTTAAGGATCCTTGTGATTACACTGGATCTACCTAGACAATCCAAAATAATCTCTGTATTTTAAGGTCAACTGACTAGAAACCTTAATTTCATCTACAACTTAAATTCCCCTTTGCCATGTAAGTTAACATATTCACAGATTTCCAGAAATTAGGACATGGATATTGGGAATGGAGGAGAGGGGTGACATTCTTCCAGCTACTACAACACTGAAGTTTCAAAAAGGTATGTAGAAAACAATAGACAGAATGTGCATTTGATTAGATACATATATATTTCTTATTTACAAATAGAAAAAGGTCTAGAAAGATATGTAACAATATGGTTATTACTGGGTGGTGAAATGTTTTCTATTTCCTTTTGGGGGGAGATTATTTGTATTTTCTAATTTTTCTTCAAAAAAATTATTTATTTTAAAAGAAGGCAAAATATGATTTCTAAGTTAAAATCCAAAGTATGAATAGACACTTTGCCAAAAAAGATATACAGATGGCAAATAAGCATATGACATGACATTCAACAACAGTCATTAGGGACACACAAATCAAAACAATGATACAGTACTATATACCTATTAGAAAAGCATTAAAAAACCAGTAACAGGCCAGGCGCAGTGGCTTACACCTGTAATCCCAGCACTTTGGGAGGCTGAGGCGGGCATATCACAAGGTCAGGAGATCGAGACCATCCTGGCTAACACGGTGAAACCTCATCTCTACTAAAAATACAAAAAAATTAGCCAAGCATGGTGGTAGGCGCCCATAGTCCCAGCTATTCAGGAGGCTGAGGCAGGAGAATAGCGTGAACCCAGGAGGTGAAGCTTGCAGTAAGCCAAGATGGCGCCACTCACTGCACTCCAGCCTGAGTGACAGAGACTCCGTCTCAAAAAAAAAAAAACACAAAAAACCAACAACAGCAACAACAGCAGGCGCTATAAAGGACAAAGACTAACCAAAATCCTTATACACTCCTGGTAGAAATGCAAATGGTACAGTCAGTTTGGAAAACAGTGTGGCAGTTTCCTATAAACACACACTTACATTTGACCTGGAAATCTCACTCTGCACTCCAAAGTAGAGTGAATCAAATGCAAGTGAAGTTTTAACATGCTCACCAAAAACCTATATGTGCATATGTTTAGCAACTTTATTCATGACTGCAAAAACTGAAAATGATCCCCAATGCAATTCAATAGATGCCTGAGTAAACAAAGGGTGGCACTTCCGTATAATAGAATATTATTCAACAATTAAAAGGAACAAACTATGATTTATGCAACAACATAGATAAATAATAAATGTATTTTGTTAAATGAAAGAAACCAGATCCAAAAGCCTGGTTGTATTGTATATATACAAACCTATGTATTGTATGATTCCATTTATATGACGTTGGAAAAAGGCAAACTATGAGGATAAAAAACAGATCTGTGGCTGCCATGGGTTGGAGTGAAGGAAAGATAAACTATCAACAGGTACCATGAGGAAATTTAGTGAATAATAGAACTGTTCTATAGCGGGGGTGGATACATGACTGTCTAAATTCATCAAACCCATAGAACTGTACACCACCAAGAGTAAAGCTTATTGTTTCTAATTTTTTTAATTCACCACAATGTCAGAGGAAGATGAAATGCAAACTGTGACAAATGATTCTACCTGTATTACATGATACGTGTACACAGAGACATAAATACACAGATATAGAAAAACAGACACATGTGTGTATATATATATACGTTAGTAAACATACACTCATGCATCACTTAACAAAGGGATATGTTCTGAGAAATGCATAGTTAGGTGATTTTGTTGTGTAAATGTCATTGAGTGTATTTACACAAATCTAGATGTTATAGCCTCCTACACACCTAGGCTATGCTCCTAGGCTACAAACCTGAACAGCATGTTATTGTACTGAAAACTATAGGCAATTCTAACACATGGTAATTGTGAGTATATATAAGCATATCTAAACATAGAAAAGATACAGTAAAAATATGGTATAAAAGATTTTTTAAAATGGTGTACCTTTATAGAGCATTTATCACAAATGGAACTTGCAGAACCATAAGTTTCCCTGAGTGTGTCAGTGAGTGAGTGGTGAGTAGATGTGAAGAGCTAGGACATTATTGTACACTACTGTAGAGTTTATAAACACTGTACACTTAGGGTACACTAAATTTATTTGTTAAAGTATTTCTCTCTTCAATAACAAATTAACCGTAGCTTTCTTTAACGTTTTTACTTTATAAACTTTTACATTTTTCTAACTTTTGGACGCTTTTGTAATAGCACTTAGCTTAAAACACGAACAAAAAATATACAAAAAATGTGTTGTTAAATCCTTATTCTATAAACGTTTTTCTATTAATTTAACTTTTTAAACTTTTTGTTAAAAACAAACACACGAACACATATTACCTAGGCCTACACAGGATCAAGATCATCAATATCACTGTCTTCCACCTCCACATCTTGTCTCACTAGAAGGTGTTCAGGGGCAATAATGCATGGAGCTGTCATCTCCTATGATAACAATGCCTTCTTCTGGAATACCTTCTGGAGGACCTGCCTGAGGCTGTTTTACACTTAGTTTTCTTTTAATAACTAGAAAGAGTGTGCTTAAAATACTAAGCATAGTATACACGTAAACCAGTAACATAATCATTTATTATCATTATCAAGTATTATATGCTGTATATAGTTTTATGTGCTAGCTATACTTTTATACAAGTGGCAGCACAACAGATGATGTTTACACCAGCATCACTATAAACACATGAGTAATGCACTGTGCTACAATGTTATGACAGCTACAATGTCATTACGTGATAGGAATTTTTCAGGCAGGAATTTTTCTCATAAACCATCATATATGTAGTCCATCATTGACAGAAATGTCATTATGCAGTGCATGACTGTACAATACTTTCTAGCTTTGTCCGATGAGAGAACCAAGATGCAGTGACACTCCAGCAGCAATAAGCACATTTAACATCCAGATAGTGGTCTCTAAACACCATTCTCTAGGCTGAGCCTGGTGGCCTATGCCTGTAATCCCAGCACATTGGAAGGCCAATGCAGAAGATTACTTGAAGCCAGGAGCTCAAGACCAGACAGGGCAACAAAGCAAGACCCTGTTCCTACAAAAAAAAAATTTTTTTTTAAACTAGGCATAGAACCATGTGCCTAGAGTCCCAGCTACTTGGGAGGCTGAGGTGGAAGAACTGCTTGGGCCTAGGAGTTGGAGGCTGAAGTGAACTATGAATGCACCACTGCACTCCAGCCTGGGTGACAGGGCAAGACCCTGACTCAGAATAAATAAACTAAATAAAATAAAAATAAATAAATATGATTCTACAATAAAAGAAACCAGGGATCTTTAGAGAAATAGTTAATTCCAAGGAAATCAAGATGGGGAAAATATAGATGAGCCTGGAGCATCTTGTGTTGCTAGAAAGACAGGTGGTGCTCAAAACAATAAGAATGAGACATATCTAAAAAACACAGGTGTCAACCTGAAGGAATTCTCAATGACCAAAGCTGGAACGATTTGAGAAACAAAATAAATAATATTAGTATTGAATCACTACCTAAAGAATAAAATAAATATCCCTAAGTCCTTAGTGATACAAAATTTAAAATTGGATAAATGAATAAATGAGCAAGAAAGGACAACTAACTCTTTCTTACAGAAGAATTTCAAATTATAAAGGTAAAATGAATGAAATAAATGAAAATCAGCATTAGAACACCACAATAATAATTGCTACAGGCAAGGTCCACAAATGCATGCTTAAATTAGTGGGTAAAAGTTTAAAGAGGTCATGGATATTTTCATAGCTTCAAACAATCTCTGCCCAAGATACTTATTAATTACTATGGTGGTTTTAACATATGTCCAGAAATCCCTCCATACTCCTCGTTTCATGGGGTGAAGCTTAATTCCCATCCTCTTTAGAGTGAGCATACTTACTCAGTTGCTTAGTTGTTTGCTTCTAATGAATAGTCAAAGAAAGGGGAAAATTGTAAGTTAACAGAGAAAAAACCTGGCAAACACCGCAGTAACTAAAAGAGCAAGATTAGTATCACTAAGAAGAAGAAATACTGGTATTATGTACCCTCTGAAATGATGTAAAGAGAAAGGCACATCATATCTGTGGTAAACTTCCCAAAAATCCATAACTTCAGTCTAAACATAGGAAAACACTAGACAAACCCAAATTGAGGGACGTTCCTTGGCTAGTATTCTTTGAAACTGTCAAGGTCATGAAAGAAGAAAAGAGCAAGGAATTACCACATATTAGAAGAGACTAAGGAAATATGACAACTAAATTTAATGTGGTATCCTGTATTAGATCCTGGGACACAAAAAGGACATTGGTAGAAAAGCTGGGGAAATCTGAATAAAATCTGCAGTTAATTGTATTATACAATATCTCTTTCTTAGTTCTGATAATCATACCATAGTTATACAAGATTATATTGGGGAAGCTGGTGACACATATATGTAAAGAGTACTATCTTAGCAACTCTAAGTATAAAATTAGTTTGAAATTAAAAGTTTAAAAAAGCATTTAGCTATATAGATTAACCTTAAAAACATAGAAACATGGTATATAATTCAAAGGACATCAATTAAATGCAAAGTGTAAACAAACTTGCAAGAATACATACATATATGTACATAATATTAATATATTAGAATTGTGATTTATAAGAAGGAGAAAGGAATAAGAGTAAAGTACAGGGATTAAAAGGAATAAAGAAATAAAATGAGAGAAGACTTGCATCAACCAATGATGATAATGTTCTACGACATGAGGGAAATGATTAATTCAATAATACCTTGCCTATTAGGTTAAAAAATAAGAAAAACCTGAAAAGTAAAGAAAATAGCATTATAAAATATAAAGCCAAATCGAATTTCTCCAAACTCACAGTAAAAAAACAAACAACCCACTTAGAAATGGGCAAAAGACATAAACAGATATTTCATCAAAAAGGAGATACAGACGACAAATAAGCACATGAAAAAATGTTCAATATCACTAGCCATTAGGGAAATGCAAATTAAGACCATGATGATATCACTACATATCTATTCCAACAGTTGAAATAAAAAGTAGTAGCAATATTAAATGCTAGCAAGAATGCAAAGAAACATTTTGTAAGAGTGTGAAAATGGTATAGTCACTTTGGAAAATAGTTTGGCAGTTTCTTAAGGAACTAAATATACACTCACCATACCACCCAGCAATCATACTCCTAAGGATTTATCCTTGAGAAATGAAGACTATGTCCTCACAACAACATGCACACAATTGCTCATAATTTGCAATAGCCAAAAACTGGAAAGTACCAAAATGTCTGACAACAGGTGAATGGTTAAACAAACAGGGGTCAGCCACACCATGGTATACTACTTGGCAATAAAAAGAAATGAAAAATTAACAACCATAACGACTTGGATGACTATCAAGAGCATTATGCTGACAAACAAAAGACAATCTCAAAAAGTCAATTACTATATGATTTCAATTATATAACATTCTTGAAGTGACAAAATTATAGAGACAGAAAACAGATTAGTTGTTGCCAGGGTTTAGGAATTGGGGGGAAGCAAAGAAGTAGGTGTGACTATCAAAAGGTAACAAGAAGAGATCTTTGCAGCAATGGAATATTTCTGTATCTTGACTGTGGCGGTGGCTATACAAATATATTAATATATATGAAAAAATGACATAGAATTTATACACACACTTCATACCAATGTCGACTTCCTGGTTTTGATATTATACTACAGTTATGCAAGATGTAACTAACTCGGGAAGCCGGGTGAAGGATATAGGAGACCGCTCTCTATTATCTTTGCAACTTCCTGTATATTGCTTATCACTAAAATGCTTCCAAATAAAAAGTTTTTGAATATCATTATATAAGTTTAATATCCTCTACCAATTGCCTCCCTCATTCAATCGCTTTTCTGTGTTATAAAAAGAATAAGAGAATTTTAGAGTTGAAAAGAAATCAACTAACCTAGAAATTGCAAACCAGAACAGAAGCCCATAGGCTGGATCTGGCCAGCAGAATGTCTTCAATTGGCAGCAACAATACATTTTTTTTTAAGTATCAGTCTTCAGAGGGCGCGTATCAGCTGTAGTTTACTAGTTTCCACTGCTTTATAACTTTATACTCTGTGCTCCACTCATTTAAAATCCTGTCTAATCCTTAAAGACTTTTGAGTTTGCCACCCTGACTAATCTTTTACAATAGTGTGAAGCAGAAATCTGAAGAGGTAAAATGAAATGTTCAAAGCCATAGGCTTCTGTTTCCCAGCCAGTGCTCTGCCCAAATTTTGGAGTTATCTCATGTCCTGTTGGTCATTCTCTCATTCTGAGTAGATACATAGATCTAAGTTTTCACTCCTTGCTACCACTTATCTCAACTGTCTTGAATACGACACCAACCATGCCAAGCCTCTTTTTAAAATAGGAATACTTGCCTTTCCCAACTGGCAGAACTACTGGAATAATCAACTAAGATAGTCCATGTAAAATCACTATGTAAAGTCCTTTAAAAATGAAGACTATTAGGATATTAAATATATAAATATATGTGTGTATATTATATATTATATATAACATCATATTATAATATATATTTGCCATTTTATCTTTGAAGCAGCTGGTACTCTGGTCTGTGATGTTCTGTTTGGCCTTTGCAGATACAGAGTAAGTCATCAAATATATGTGTATAATTATCTATCGGTGTAATCATAGAAAGTCTTCAATAAGATCATCATATTGCAATGGATTATAGGTCCAAGCTAGGGATTATAGCACAAGGAAGGGGAACAAGTAAAATGGAAATAGTCTCTGGGAGGCTTGGAATCAATCAGTAGAAAGGGAAAATTAATGTTAAGAGTGAAAGGAAAGAAGTCAGCTCTTTAATCCAACTGTCTCACTTCTGACCTGGCCAAACAAAAATAACCAGAGTCAGGGCTGTATATTTACTCACCCTTAATTATTCTTTGAAAGTGATTTTCAAGTACAAATGTCTACCTTCATCCCTTAAAACTATATGTAACTGCTGTTGCCTGTATAATATTCACTCTTCCATAATTTTTCTATGATTATCCAGATAGATTATTGATTACATACACACATATTTGTATACATAGACCTTCATAGGTACAGTTTTCTTTTTGTAGAGGTCGGGTAATGCTACACAGATAATTCTTCAAATTGCATTTCTCATTTTAAAATATATCACAGGCATCTTTCCATATCAGCACATATAGTTCTACTGCATTCTTTTTAATAGTTGTATGTATTTCAATTGAATGGATATACCAAAATTTACCTAATCGTTACTCTATTAATGCACATTTAATTATTTCTAATATTTTGTCATTTTAAAGTATGCTATAAAGAAAATGTATATTAATATACTCATGGTACTTTTCTATGAAATAGAGTCCTAGATTTAGGATTATTAAGAGTGTATCTCTTAATTTGTATACCAATTTATATTCTCACCAGTAGAGTCCATTTTGACACATGTTCACCAACACTTTGTCTTCTATATTCGTATCCATTTTCTTCTAATCTGTTTTTCATCTTTTAACTTTACATATCATTTTAACTTTACATATCATTTTGTAAAACTGAAGTGTACTTTTATGCAATCAAATCTGCCGCTCATTTATGTCATTATTTCAATGTTTTATGACTTGAATATTTATACCCAAAAATAAAAAAAACTTCCACATCTCTATAGTATAGTAACATCTCTATAGTTACAAAAGGAACTCTATTTAGATTCTTAATTCATCTGGAATTTATATGTGATATGAAATAGAAAATAAAATCTAAATTTACATTCTTAAAATTGCACAGCCAAGCCAGGTGCAGTGGCTCACGCCTGTAATCCCAGCACTTTGGGAGGCCGAGGCGAGCGGATCACAAGATCAGGAGATCGAGACCATCCTGGCTAACACAGTGAAACCCTGTCTCTACGAAAAATACAAAAAAATTAGCCAGGTGTGGTGGCGGGTGCCTATAGTCCCAGCTACTCCGGAGGCCGAGGCAGGAGAATGGCATGAACCTGGGAGGCGGAGCTTGTAGTGAGTAGAGATCGCGCCACTTCACTCCAGCCTGAGTGACATAGCGAGACTCCATCTCAAAAAAAAAAAAAAATTGCATAGTCAAGTATTCAGCACATTGATCTGAAATGTCACAACCTTTTTTATGTACTAATTCCCAAAGGAAGTTCCAAGATGGCTTACTAGAAGTAGCTAGTGCACACTGCTCTCACAGAGAACAGAGTGGTGAGTAAACAGGCTCTTCAAGTGGATCATCCAGGAGGCCACATTGAGATTCATAAAGGATGCAACAGCAACCCACAAGGAGCAGAGAGGAGCGAGGCAGAACAGCTGCCCACCCAGGATTGTCAGCAGAACCAGGGGAGGCTCCCTACCTCTAGGGAAGGGTGAATGAGTGAGAGCCCCTGGGGACCCATACTTCTGCCATGGATCTTTGCAATCTTGGGTATGGGCAATCCTCCCAACCCCCAATCCCTCTGGGACTCCAAACTAACACAGAGAGCTGCCTGGAGTCTGAACAGAACTACCCACTCAAACCCAGGTTGAGCCCCACAGGCCTTGGACTCCTGAACACCCCAGCACCAGCTTCCCTAGCCTCACCAACAACAGAGGCCAGGCACTCTCATGTGCCCTTAGGGTAGGGGCCGCATCCATAGTGCTGAGGAGTGCACGGATTGCAGGCCTCACCTCTGCTGCACCTCACCAGGAACAGCCAACTGGCCTGGGCCCCCAGTGTAGTCATCCCACCCACACCTAAGCACTCTGGCCCTGCATTTCTCTGGGATGGAGCTCACAGAGATAACCGACAGGCCCGTTGTGATTGCCTCTATAGTCCCTGCTACCCTGAGGCTGGGAAGGGAGCTAAGAGCCTGAGAACAGTCACAAGCCTCCAACATGCTGCAGCTACCATATGAAAAGACAGCTGGACAGTTTTCCATATGGTTCACTGCTCCTCACACATATTACATACACACATATTTGTACACACAGACCTTCACATGTATAGTTTTTAATTTTAGGTATAAAAACCCAAGTCATAGCCACCACACTCCCACCTGATCACTTCAGTTCAGTGTTTCTCTGGGGTGGAAGTCCCTAGAGACAACTGGCAGGCCCTCTCCTATTGCTTCTGCCCTGGTCCCTGCCCTTCCTCCCAACAGGCTAGGGAGGAAACCAAGAGCCTGACTACTTTCCTGCACCGACAGCACACCACGACAGCCGTCCTATGGAGAAGAGGCCAGACTGTGTTCCATGTAAACTCCTGACCCCTGCCCCACCCTTGGCCAGACAAGGCGTCCCTGGCTTGGGCCCACAGCACAGCTGCCCACCCACAGCTGATTATCCCAACTGGCAGAAGCAGCTCTGCATTTCTCTGGGGTGGAATTCCCAGAGGCATTTCTCTGGGGTGGAGTTCCCAGACAGTCCCTCTGCCATACCAACCACTACGGTCCCCATTCCTGCTGCCCCCAATATAAGGGGGAACAAAAAGCCTGAGTTCACCACAGGGCTGCAGTGCAAAGCTTGGGAGTGCTGAGCCAAGATCTATGACCAGCACTGGAGCCGGAGAGCAGTGCACACTCAGAGCACAAAAAAGGGTGAGTCTGGCTGGCTTGTGGACTGCCGTGGGAGCAGTGCATGCCTCCCTCGGAAGGGCCCACCGAGAAAGGTGTGGCTTATCTCTGCCACTGCCTCTGCCAGAGAGAGCCCCGTGGCCCCTCACCTAACATTCAACAAAAGAAATGAAGGTGCAGTCCCAGTGATCAGAGGGGACTCTCCAGAGGCCTAGGAGTGGACCTGCTGAGGGGGTCACCTCTCTCCACACTGCAATACAGAGCAGGGCTGCAAATGTCAGAAACTATAAAAGAGCCACAAGACTAAGTCTATTGGCCTTAAGCGCCATCTACTGGATCACAGTCCAAACAACACCACCAAAAATATTTTGCTAATATACATCCCTGTGAAACTAAGGACAAGAATTCAGCCACAAACAGACCCCACACAGAGCCTTGACCCACTAAAAACATCCAGAAACGAAGCCAACTGACTATACTCAACTTACACCACAGTTAAAGGGACACCGACCCTCCGAAATAAGAAAAAATCAGCGTAAGAACTCTGGCAATTCAAAAAGCCAGTGTCCCCTTCCCTCCAAATAAGTTCACTAGCTCCCCAACAATGGTTCTTAAACAGCTGGAGGCCGGGCATGGTGGCTCATGTCTGTAATCCCAGCACTTTGGGAGGCCAAGGCGGGTGGATCATGAGGTCAGGAGATCGAGACCATCCTGGCTAACACGGTGAAACCCCATCTCTACTAAAAATACAAAAAATTAGCTGGGCGTGGTGGTGGGCACCTGTAGTTCCAGCTACTAGGGAGGCTGAGGCAGGAGAATGGCATGAATCTGGGACCCAGGAGGAGGAGCTTGCAGTGAGCTGAGATTGCACCACTGCATTCCAGCCTGGGCGACAGAGTGAGACTCCATCTCATAAAAACAAACAAACAAACAAACAAAAACAGTTGGATGTGAATGAAATGACAAACATATAATTCAGAATCTGGATGGCAAGGAAGCTCATCAAGATTCAGGAGAAAGTTGAAACCCAATCCAAGGAATGCAGTAAAATGATCCAAGAGCTGAAAGATACAATAGTAATTTTAACAAAGAACCAAACTGAACTTCTAGAGCTGAAAAATTCACTACAAGAATTTTGTAATACAATCAGAAGCATTAATAGTAGAATAGACCAAACTGAGGAAAGAATCACAGCTCAAAGACTGGCTCTTCAAATCAACCCAATCAGATAAAAATAAAGAAGAAAGAATTTTTAAAAATAAAAAAAACTCCAAGAAATATGAGATTCTGTAAAGAGACCAAATCTATGATTCACTGGCATTCCTGAGAGAGGAGAGAGATAAACAACTTGGAAAATATATTTGAGAATACAGTCCACGAAAATTTCCCTAATCTTCTTGGAGAAGTTGGTATGCAAATCCAAGAAATACAAAGGACCCTGGCTAGATACTATACAATATGACTATCCCTAAGGCACATAGTCATCAGATTCACTACAAAATAAAAAATCTTAAAGGCAGCTAGAGAGAAGAGTCAAGTCACTTACAGAGGAAACCCCATCAGGCTAACAGGAGACTTCTCAGCAGAAACCTTAAAAGCCAGAAGAAATCAGGGGACCTCTGTTTAGTGTTCCTAAAGAAAAGAAATTCCAAGTAAGATTTCATATCCTGCCAAACTAAGCTTGAAATGTGAAATAGAAATAAAATCCTTCTCAGACAAGCAAACACTGAGAGAAATCATTTCAATTAGACCAGCCTTACAAGAGGTCCTTAAGGGCATGCTAAACATGGAATCAAAATAACAACACCTGCTACCACATAAACACACTTAAGCACATATGCCACAGGCACTATAAAGCAATCACACAATCAAGCTGACAAAACAACCAGCTAACGACATAATGGCAGAATCAAAATCTCACATTTCAAAAGTAACGCTGAATGTAAATGAACTGAACACCCCACTTAAAAGGCATAAAGTGGCAAGCTGAATAAGAAGACAAGACCCAACCATTTGCTGTCTTCAAAAGATCCATCTCACATGTAACAACACCCACAGGCTCAAAGTAAAAAGATGGAGAAACATTTACCATGCAAACAGAAAACAAACAAACAAAAAAAATAGCAGGAATTGTTATTCTTATATCAGATAAAATAAGTTTTAAACCAGTATAAAATAACAAGGGCAAAGAAGGGCATTACATAATGATAAAGACTACAAGCACACAAGAAGACTTAACTATCCTAAAATATATACACACTTACATTGGGGCACTCAGATTCATAAAACAAGTTCTTCTTGGCCCACAAAAAGACTTAAGACAACCACACAACAATAGTGGGAGACTTCAACACCTCACTGATAGCATTAGACAGATCAAGGCAGAAAACTTACAAAGAAACTATGGACTCAAATGCAACACTTAACCAATTAGACCTAATAGACATCTACAGAACACTCCACCCAACAATGACAGAATATACATTCTTCCCATATGCACACAGAACATATTCTAAGATGAACCACATGCACAGTCATAAACCAAACTTCAATAAAATCAAAAAAATTGAAATAATATCAACCATACTCTTGGACCACAGTGCAATAAAAACAAAAACCAAAGATATCTCAAAACTACACAAATACATGGAAATTTAACAATTTGCTCCCAAATAATTCCTGTGTAAGCACTGAAATTAAGGCAGAGATTAAAAAATTCATTGAAATTAATGAAATTAGGAACAAAACATGCCAACATCTCTGGAATGCAGCTAAAACAGTATAAGAGGAAATGCCTTTGAGAAGTTAGAAAGATCTCAAATTAACAATCGAACATTGCACCTAAAGGAACTAGAAGAAAAAAGAACAAACCAACCCTAAAGCTAGCAGTTCCTCTCTAACAATAATTACAGAAGAACCAAATGAAATTGAGATGCAAAAATCCATATGAAAAAATCAATGAAGACAAGAATTCATTCTCCAAAAAAATAAACAAGATTAACATATGGCTAGCTAGATTAGCAATGAAAAAAGAGAAGATCCAAGTAAGTACAATAAGAAAAGACAGCAATGACTTTACAACTGATCCCATAGAAATACAAAATATCCTCAGAGAATACTATGAACAACTCTATACACACAAATTAGAAAATCTAGAGGACATGAATAAATTTCTGGAATCACACAATCTGTCAAGATTGACTCAGGAAGAGATTGAAACCCTGAATGGACCAATATCAAACTCTGAAATTAAATCAGTAATTTAAAAAACCTACCAACCAAAAATAGCCCTGGAACAGATGGATTCACAGATGAATTCTATCAGATGTACAAAGAAGAACTGGTAGCAATCCTACTGAAACTATTCCAAAAAATTGAAGAGGAGAGGCTCCTCCCTAACTTATTTTAGGAAGCCAACATCAGCCTAATACCAAAGCCTGGCAGGAACACAGTGAAAAAATAAAAGTTTAGGCCAATATCCCTGATGACACAAAAATCCTCAATGACATACTAACAAACTGAATCCAGCAGCACATTAAAAAGTCAATATACCAGAATCAAGTAAGCTTTAATTCCTTGGATGCAAGGCTGGTTCAACATATGCAAATCAATAAATGTGATTCACCACATTAACAGAATTAAAAGCAAAAACCATATGATTACTTCAATAAATACAGAAAAAGCTTTTGATTAAATCCAAAATGTCTTTATGATAAAAACCCTCAACAAACTAAGCACTGAAGGAACATACCTCAAAATAGTAAGAGCTATATAACAAACCCTCAGCCAACATCATACTGAAAAGGCAAAAACTGGAAGCATTCCCCTTGATAACTGGAATAAGACAACAATGTCCACTCTCACTACTGTTATTCAACATAGTACTGGAAGTGCTAGCCAGTGCAATCAGGCAAGAAAAAAAGAAATAAAACACAAATAGGAAAAGAAGACATCAAACTCTCTCTCTTTGCTGCCGATATGATTCTATACCTAGAAAACCCTAAAGACTCCCCAAAAGGCTACTATAAAAGATCAATGATTTTAATAAGGTTTCAGGATACAAAATCAATATACACAAATCAGTAGCATTTCCAAACACCAATAATGTCCATGCTGAGGGTGAAATTGAGAACACAATCCCATTTACAACAGCCACAAAGAAAATGAAATACCTAGGAATATAGCTAACTAAGGGGGTGAAAGATCTCCACAAGGATAACTACAAAACACTGCTGAAATAAATCAAATAAATGAAAAAACATTCCATGCTCTGGATGGAAAGAATCAATATCATTAAAATGGACATACTGCCCAAAGGAATCTGCAGATTCAGTGCTATACCTATCAAACTACCAGCATCATTCTTCACAAAATTAGAAAAAGATATTCTAAAATTCATATGGAATAACAACAAAAATGAACCCAAATAGCCAAAGCAATCCTAAGCACAAAGAACAAATGTGGAGACAGCATGCTACCCAACTTCAAATGATATTATAGGGCTACTGTAACCAAAACAGCATGGAACTGGTATAAAAAACAGACACACAGATCCATGAAACAGAGTAGCAAACTCAAAAATACAGCCACATATTTACAACCATCTGATCTTTGACAAGGCTGACAAAAACAAGCAATGGGGAAAGGAACTCCTATTTGATTAATGGTGCTGGGATAACTGGCTATCCATATGCAGAAGAATAAAACTAGACCCTTACCTTTCACCATATACAAAAATTAACCTAAGATGGATTAAAAATGTAAATGGAAAATCTCAAACTATAAAAATCCTAGAAGAAAACCTAGGAAATGCACTTTTCAATATTGGTCTAGGCAAAGAATTTTTGGCTAAGTCCCCAAAAGCAATTGCAACATAAACAAAAATTGATGAGTGGGACCTAATTAAACAGAAGAGCTTCTGCACAGCAAAAGAAACTATTACTAAAGAGACAACCTACACGATAGGAGAAAATATTCACAAACTTTGCATATGCCAAGGTCTAATAGCCAGAATCTATAAGGGACTTAAATCAACAAGCAGCTCTTTTCTGGCTGGAACCATGGATGGTGTAGAAGAGAAGAAGAAGACGGTTCCTGCTGTGCCAGAAACCCTTAGGAAAAAGTGAAGGAATTTCACAGAGCTGAAGATCAAGTGCCTGAGAAAGAAGTTTGCCCAAAGGATGCTTCAAAAGGCAAGAAGGAAGCTTATCTACAAAAAAGCAAAGCACTATCACAAGGAATATAGGCAGATGTACAGAACTGAAATTTGAATGGCGAGGATGGCAAGAAAAGCTGGCAACTTTAATGTACCTTCAGAACCCAAACTGGCGTTTGTCCTCAGGATCAGAGGTATCGATGGTGTTAGCCCAAAGGTCCGAAAGATGTTTCCGTTTCTTTGCCTTCATCAAGTCTTCAATGAAACCTTTGCGAAGCTCAACAAGGCTGCAATTAATATGCTGTGGACTATAGAACCATATATTGCATGGGGGTACCCAAATATGAAGTCAGTAAATGAACTAATCTACAAGCGTGCTTATGGCAAAATCAATAAGAAGCAAATTGCTTTGACAGATAACCCTTTGATTGCTTGATCTCTCGGTAAATATGGCATCATCTGCACGGAGGATCTGATTCATGAGATCTATACTATTGGAAAATGCTTCAAAGAAGCAAATAACTTCCTGTGGCCCTTCAAAGTATCTTCTCCACAAGGTGGAATGAAGAAAAAGACCACCCATTTTATTTTTCTAAGCTGGTCAGTTAATAAATAGTACCTGCTCTCAAACTGAAAAAAAAAAAATAAGCAAGCAAAAACAATCCCATTCAAAAAGGGGCAAAGGACATTAACAGACACTTCTCAAAAGAAGACATACAAGTGGCCAAGAAACATATGAAAACATGCTCACTGTCACTAATCATTAGAGAAATGCAAATCAAAACCACAGTGAGATACCATCTCAAAGCAGTCAGAATGGCTATTTTTAAAAAGTCAAAAAAACAAGATATATTGGTGAGGCTGTAGAGAAAAGGGGGTGCTTATACACTGTTTTTGGGAATGTAAGTTAGTTCAACCACTGTGGCAAGCAGTTTAGAGGTTTCTCAAATAACTTAAAACAGAGCTACCATTCAACCCCACAATCCCATTACTAGGTATATACCCAAAGGAAAATAGATCATTATACAAAAAGACACATGTACTTCTATGTTCATCACTGTGCTATTGAGAATAGCAAAGTCCTGGAATCAACCTAGGTATCCATCAGTGGTGGACTAGATAAAGAAAATATGGTACATATACACCATGGCATATTATGCAGCTATAAAAAAGAATCAAATCCTGTTACTTGCAGCAACATGGATGGAGCTGGAGGCCATAATCCTAAGTGAACTAACACAGGAACAGAAAACCAAGAACCATATATTTTCACTTATAAGTGGGAGCTAAACATTGAGCACACATGGACATAAACATGGGAAAAATAAACACTGTAGACTACTAGAGGAGGGAAGAACGGAGAAGGGCTTGGCTTGAAAAATCTGCCTGTTGGGTACTATGTGTACTACCTGGATGCAATATACCCATACAAGAAATCTGCACATGTACTCCCTATATCTAAAGTAAAAGTTGAAGTTAAAAGAAATTCCCATATATTTTATAGTTCTTTTCTATACTCTATGCCATTGATCTTTTCATTTATTCCAGTGTTTTAAAACATTAGCATTACAACATAATATTTTCTAAAAATAAGCAAAGAGAAAGGGAACAGAAAAAATATTTGAAGAAACAGGGGCTGAAAGTATCTCCAAAACGATAAAATATAAAAACTAAATATTGAAAAAGCTCAAGAACCCCAAGTAAGATAAACATCAAGAGATCCAAACCTAGTATCACAGTCAAATTTTGACAGACAAAGGCAAAGTAAACTTTTGAAAGCAAGAGAAAAACTCTTAATTATACACAGAAGAATAACAATATAATTAAAGGCTAGCTTCTAGTTAGAAACAGTAGAGAACAGAGGGCAGTAGACTGACATATTCAAAGTACAAGGGAAAAAAAACAACTTGTCTACCAAAGTTTCTAGCTCCAGCAAAAGTATACTACAAATGCAAGGGTATAATAAAGATATACCAGATAAATAATTATTAACAAATAATAATTAAAAGGATTTTATCAAATAAAAAACATTTGCTCTTCAAAAAACAACATTTAGAAAAGTTTAAAAACAAGCTATAGACCAGGAGAAAATATTTTTTGCAAATTGCTTATCTAATAAAGGACTTCTACCCAGAATATATAATGAACTCTGACAACTTAATAATAAAAATGAACAGTCCAATTAAAAATGGGCAGAGGAACTGAACAGACATTTCACTATATATAAATGGCTAATAAGCACATGAAAATATAGAGAACATCACCAGTCATTAAGGAAATGTAAGCTGGGCACAGTGGCTGAGGCCTATAATTCCAGCACTTTGGGAGGCCAAGGCAGGAAGATTGCTTCAGGCCAGAAATTTAAGACCAGCCTGAGCAACATAGTGAGACCTCATCTCTACAAAAAAAGTGTTTTAAATTAGTCAGGCATGGTGACATGCATCTGTAATCCCAGTTACTTGGGAGGCTGAAGTGAGAGGATCACCTGAGCCCAGGAGTCTGAGGCTGTAGTGGGGTATGACTGCACCACTGGACTCAAGCCTAGACAAAAGAGTGAGACTCTGTCTCAAAAAAAAAAAACCCCTAAAACTTGAAAAGATAACAAGTGTTGGTAAGAATGTGGAGAAAAGGGAGCCTTTGTACACTACTGGTGGGAATATAAATTGATACAGCCATTATGGAAAACAGTATGGATATTCCTCTAAAAACTGAAGATAGAACTACCATATGATCCAACAATCCTATTTCTGGGTATATATACAAAGGATATGAATTATGTATGTCAAAGAGATAACTGCTCTCTCATATTCACAATAACGCTGCAATAAACGTGGAATTACTGCAATAAGTTATGGAATCAACCTAAGTGTCTATCAGCCTAAGTATCCATCAACCAATGGACACCAAGAAAATGTGGTATATATACACAATAGAAAAAATTAGCCATTTAAAAGAAGGAAATTATGTCATTTGGGACACCATGGGTGAACCTGGAGGTCATTAGTATAAATGAAATAAGCCAGGCATGGGAAGACAAATTCCACATGAAATCTAAAACAATCGAACTCAGGGAAGCAGAGAGCAGACTGGTGGTTACCAAAGGCTGCAGAGTAGGGATAATAAGGAGATGTTAGTCAAACGGTACAATGTTTAAGTTACACAGCAGAAATAAATAACAAATATTTGAGGTTTGGATATGTTAATTAGCTTGATTCAATCGTGTGTGTGTGTGTGTGTGTATGGAAAAAATATCATACCATCATTTTGTACCCCATAAATATATACAGTTATCATTTGTTAATATCCAATAAAAAAGCACAAAGTGAACAATTCAGTGAAAAAAATATATATCACTGGTGAAACCCCGTCTCTGCTAAAAAGACAGAAAAATACAAAAAAATTAGCAGGGCATGGTGGCATGCACCTGTAGTGCCAGCTACTTGGGAGGCTGAGGCAGGAGAATGGCATGAACCCAGGAGGCAGTGATTGCAGTGAGCCGAGATCGCGCCACTGCACTCCAGCCTGGGCGACAGAGTGCAATATTTGCTTTACTGCAATGGTCTGGAACAGAACCTGCAATATTTCCAAAATATCCCTGTAAAATATTCTCCATTTTTCCCATGCAGCATTGATTTAGCACATAAACAAAAAAAAGAAAGACCTATAAATAATAACTTACCCAATACTCTATTCAGGGCATTCATCAGTCTGTGCCAAATGGTACAGAAATCCCCAGGACACAGAGTTCAGGGCAGGCAAAGAAGCTAGTAATTGAGATAGGAAATCCAGGAGAAGAAAAAGCCATAGAAAAGGGAGTTACCAGAACTAAGCATAAATTGTAAGCATACAGTTGTAATCTAAGTATAAAATCTAAGTATAAACTAACTTCCAAACTGTGAGACTCCAAAAAGTCTGGTAAAGCAACAGTTGGAAAGCTGAAAAGTCTGAACAGAGGTTTCAGCTGCTACCTAATTCAGGGAGAGTGTGTTTTAAGTTTGAATCCTGTCAAGTTAAAGAGTTTTGATAAACATCTTTGATTCTCCAGTGTGTCTGCAGAAAGTAGTAATGCCATAGGAGTAAAGACTATGTCTCAGGACTATAGATTCACACTAAGAATAAAAGAAAAATGAAAACAGACCTGCTCTAGAAAAGTGTAAAATAAAGTCTACACTAGTTTAAGGTGATCAGCCAATAACTATGCTGTCTGCTTGAAATTAAAAAAAAAAAATCACTCTTTAGGGAACAAGAACAAAATCCAGATTCTCCAGGGTATATCAAATATAATTTCCAGTTACAATAAAAATTACTCTACAGGGTAATAAAAATGTGACCCATAATTAAAAGAAAAAGCAGTCAATACAAAGAAACCCCAAACTGACACAGACGTTACAAATACAGACAAGAACTTTAAAGATGATATTATAAACATAATCAAGGACTATAGGAAAGAATGATCATGATGAATGAAAAGATGGAAAATCTAAGTAAAAAAGATTATAAAAAATAACCAAGTGGAAACTCTAGAAATGAAAAGTACAACATGTGAAATAAAAAAGTAAATAGATGAGATTAATAGAAGACTGAAGCCATCCCCAAGAAAAGGTCACCAATTTGAAAACAGAACAATAGAACAACCTTAAAGACCACAGAGAAAAAAAGACAGGACAAAATGAATAGAGTTTCAATAGAGTTAACAATATCAAATAGTTGGCCATATGTGTAATTAGAATCTCAAAAAGAGAAAAGTATGAAATTGTGGGGGGAAATTATGAAAAAAAAATGGATGAAAACTTCCCAAATTTGATTTAAAAACATTGACTTTTAGATCCAAGAAGCTCAATAAACCAAATTAGGAAAAACATAAAGAGAACCACACACAGCACATAGTAAAATAGCCAAACCAAAGGTAATAAGAAAATCTTGACAGCAGCCAGAGCAAAATGACACATCACATATAAAGGAGGAATGATGCAAAGGAAAACTGACTCCTCACTGTAAAGAAGAAAAGGCCAAGAGGAAAGTAAGACATTTAAAAAATAAAAAGCAAAAACTATCAACTTAGAATTCTATAGCTTGGTAAGATACCCTTCAAAAATGAAAGTGAAATAAAGACATCTCCATATGAACAAATGCAGAGAGGATTTATCTTGAAAAAACACACACTTCATGCCAAAGAAGTTATCTGGTGAAGAGAAATAATACCAGATGGAAATTCAAACATATAAAGAGAAATAAAGGGGACTGGAAATGATAAATATATAGATAATTTTAACAGATGGTATTTTCCATCTTTTATTAATTTCTTGAAAAAAAAACAAACTGCCTATATATACTTAACACTACTAAACTATACACTTAAAAATGGTTATGATCATAAATTTTATAATTTATTTTTACCACAATAAAAATTGGTAGTTTAATGAAAAAATTATAATATTATATTGTGGGGATTATAATATATGTAAATGTAAAATACATGACAACAGTACCAAAAAGGATGGGTGAGAAGTTAAATAAAATTATGCCGTTGCAAAACTTTTCCATTGTATGGAAGTAGTATAATATTAACTCTAAGTAGATTGTGATAAGTTGAAGACCCATATTGTAATCTCTAGAGCAACCACTAAAAAACAGTACAAAAAGTTATAGCTAAAAAGACATTAGAAGAATTAAAATAAAACATTTAAAGATTTGATTAGCCCAAAATAAAGCAGGAATTTAAAAAACAGAAGAAAAACAAAACAGACAGGACAAAGGAAACAACAAAACGACACCTAGAATCCCACTTCCAATCATGTTGGTACTACACCAGCCCTCCTGACATAAGCAACTATAAACTTGAACAAAATATTTGCTGAAACCATTTTCAGGGAGTGGGCAATAGATAGGACATGATTACAACCCTTGAAAGAAAGGAAACTAATGATGTGAGCATCTAGCTCTTACTGGACACAATTTCCTGAATTAAGTACAGAGAGTTACAGTCTTTTTTTTTTTTTTTTTTTTTTTTTTTTGAGACAGAGTCATGCTCTGTCATCAGGCTGGAGTGCAGTGGTACAATCTTGGTTCACTGCAACCTCCACCTCCTGGGTTCAAGCAATTCTCTTGCCTCAGCCTCCCGAATGCTGGGACTACAGGTGCACGCTGCCACGCCCAGATAATTTTTTTTTTTTTTGTATTTTAGTAGAGATGGAGTTTCACCATGTTGCTCAGGCTGGTCTCGAACTCCCGAGCTCAGGCAATCTGCCCGCCTCGGCCTCCCAAAGTGCTAGGATTATAGGCGTGAGCCACTGTGCCTGGTCAAGAGTTGCAGTCTTAGCAGATCAAAGTGATCCCACTGACCTGAGGCAGCAGAAATTAGAGTTCAGGCTGGTGAAAGTCACTGTAATCTACGAGACAAGACATCAGAGAAAAGGTGGCTATGAAGAGAAGGGAGACCCAGGAGTTTACATGGAAAATTGCATGTGATTCCTAACTTAATTCACAGTTAGATAGTGCTAGGTTTATCAGATAGCAGATATTACAGAGTTGAGAAGGGAACAGAGATATTAGAAGAAAAGCAATGTTAGAGTAAAAGCAGAGTTCCTGGCCCTATCAGAACAGAGCGATCTTGTTAATAACTTTAATAACACTGCTGGCATTCAGTTGAGACATCAAAATGCTACACTATAGAAGTAAAAGCCAAGCTCTAGTTTAGATCTCCCCTAAATCCACACTAACAAGGTCTGAAACCAAGTACTGATGAGATCCACAACAGAGACACAGTTTGCAAGTTAAGTCCTATTAAAATAGAGGGACCTGAAGAAACACCTCAAGATCACAGATCTTCCACAGATCTGTACTAACAAAGCATAAAACCAAGCCCACAATAGTTTAAGGTGACCACCCAGTAACTGAATTGCCTGTTAAAATAAGAATCAATACTATTCAGAGGAAGATAATGGAATCCAACTACTCTACAATATTTATTGTTTTTTGTTTGTTTGTTCGTTTTTGAGACGGAGTCTCGCACTGTGGCCCAGGCTGGAGTGCAGTTGTGTAATCTTGGCTCACTGCAACCTCCGCCTCTTGGGTTCAAACGATTCTCCTGCCTCAGCCTCTTGAGTAGCTGGGATTACAGGCACCCAGCACCATGCCCAGCTAATTTTTTGAATTTTTTTAGTAGAGACAGGGTTTTACTATGTTGGCCAGGCTGGTCTCAAACTCCTGACCTTGTGATCTGCCCGCCTCAGCCTCTCAAAGTGCTGGGATTACAAGTGTGAGCCACTGTGCCCGGCCTACTCTACAATATTTTTAATTGTAATGTCGGTATTCAATTAAAAATTCACCAGATACATAAGAAACATATACCAGCTATATATGGAAAATGTTATCCATAGTCAAAAATAAATAAATAAACCAAAAAAGCATTTTAATTGGTCAACAGAAACCAAATCAGAAATGGCCCAGATGTTGGACTTAGCAGACAAAGACATTCGAGCAGCTATTGTAAATATGTAAAGAATTAAAGGAAAATGTAGTTTTAGTAAGTTAAGAGATTAACAGTGGAGAAATGGCAACTAAATACACATACAAGGGACCAAATAAAATACTAGAACTGGAATTAAAAACTCACTAGATGGGCTTAAAAGCAGGTTGTAGAAGAAAGAGAAGTGAGCTTGAGGACAAGTCAATAAAAATAATACACTTTGAAGAAGAGAGGGAAGAAATTATTGGAAAATATAAAAGCCTCACGGATATTTGGAACAATATAAAATGACCTAATATAATTGAGTCCTGAAGGAAACTGGAGCTGATAAAATATTGGAAAAAATAACGGCCAAAAATTTCCCAATTTTGGTGAAAAACACCCACTGTAAACCTTAAAATCCAAAGACTGAAACTCACAAGTATGTTATCTTACCACAAAATTAAATTGAAAATCAATAATACTGAGATATCTAGATAATCTCCTAGTAGTTACAAATTAAATAACATATTTCTAAATAACCCATGGGTCAGGGAAGAAATCAGAAGAAAAATTAGAATGTATTTCTAACTGAATAATAATAACATAATGTATCAAAATTTGTGGGATGCAGCCAGAACAGTGTTTGAAGAAGGGAACTTACAGCTTTAAGCGCCTATATTAGAGACAAGAAAAATATTTAAAATCAATTATCTAAATCTCCACCTTAACAAGCTAGAGAAGGAAGGGCAAATTAAATCCAAAGTAAGTAGTAAGACAGGAATAATAAAGATCAGAGTTGAAATCAGCAAACAATAGAACAAATTAATAAAATCCAAAGTTTTTCTTTTAAAGAATTAATAAAACTAATAAGCACCTAGCAAGAATAAGGAAAAAGACTTTAAGAACACAAATTAACAATATCAGGAATAAAAGCAGACATCACTACAGATCCTATAGACATTAAAAGAACAATATGGAACTATTATAAACAACTTTATGGCAAAACATTTGGTAACTTAAATGAAATGAACAAATTCCTTTAAAAAAAAACTACAACTTAACAAAATTAACTCATGAAAAAACAGATCTGAATATTCCCATACATATTAGAGAAACTAAATATATAATAAAAATTTCCCAAAGAGAAAACTTCAGGTGCAATTGGGTTCACTGGTAAATTCAACCTTGAAGGAAGGCTTAACATCAATAGTACACAAATGCTTTCTGAAAATAAAGGAGAAAAGAATGCTTTCACCTCATTTTATGAGACTGCTTAAGCCTGATGCAAAAATCTGACAAGCTGTTAATCTGAGAAGAAAAAAAGGTTATAAACCAATAGCCCAAATCCTCAACTAAGTTCTGGGAAGGGTGGTCTTTTCAACAAATGTTGCTGGAACAATTGAATAAACATAAGGGAAAAGTGAATATTAATCTCCCTAAAAATTAGTTGATGTGAAATGGATCATAAACTTCATCGTAAGAGCTAAAGCTATTACATGTGTAGAAGAAAACAAAGGAGAAAAAATTTTATGCCCTTGGGAGTAGACAACAATTTCTTAAATGGGACACAGAGAGCATTAACCATAAAATAAAATTTTGATAAACTGGATTTTATCATAATCAAAACTTTCTACTCTATAAAACTGAAAACAAGTTAGAAGTTAACATGAGAAATCATATATCAATTGTAGGATATTCATACAATGGAAAACAACCCAGAAATTTTTTAAGTGAACTACTGATACATACAGCAAAGTAGATGAGTATTGAGAACGTTAGGTTAAGCTTAAACAAGAAACAAAAGAGTACGTATGAAGTATATGAACAGGTGAAATAATCTATAGTGACAGGTTGCCTTTGGGAGGTGAGGATTTGCTGGAAAGAAATGATAAGGGGACTTTCTGGGTGATGAAAATGTTCTAGATCTTGACTGAGGTGGTGGTTACATAGGTGTATAATTTTATCAAAACTAATCAAATTGTACATGTAAGATGTTTGCATTTTACCACATATAAATTTTACTTCAATTTTTTAAAGTTACAATATGGGAAAAACTTTCAGTTCCTACCAATTTATGTAATTTTGTATCTAGATTTCAGTAAGTACCAAGCACTAAATAAAATAACAGCAAGTGACTCATGTGCCTTACCTGAACCAAACTACAGACCATAACATAGCTAAAATGAAAGATTCTAAAATCCTCCCATTTAATACTCTACAGATTAGGAAAGGTATATTCAGAATTTGTTTGTGAATATACACAAAAGGAGGGTAGGCAACAGCATGGGATTTGATCTGTCATCTGCTTCTTCCCTTAACCACCGCCCAACAATGCTAAACTTCCAAGAAAAACCCACCTGACCTCTGTGGAGATCAAAAAATGCCTATAAGCTTTTCAGACATTGCCACCATAAGTTGGGGATAACTCCACACTCAGTTTGTCAACAAGACAACAACCAGGTCCAATCCAGAAGCAGTTGCTTCCTCAGTAGACCCATCAAGTTCATTCAAGTCAGGAAGACTGACCTTTCCCAACATTAACCCAGGATTCTAATCAAGCTGACATGGTGATGAACTTATTTTGTCCAGCTGGCTGCAAAAATACACGCATGAATTCTTTCTGTTCACTCTCATGCTATCCTTTCCCGCCCCTCTTCCTGTTTCTTTTCTTTTCATTCATGCACAAACAGTCACATTGTCTTACAAGACAAGTGAACGCTGAATCTTATGGGTTAAAAAAAAACAGATGTCTTCCAATTTTCCTTCGCAAAACCATATTTTATATTGGGTTCTTCTATGGATTTATAGCCAGTGAAGGGATGTTACTACATTAGCTCATGGAGGGGAATGATAAAAACTGTAAAGGAAGAGTCAGACAAGGCAAAGAGAAGCTATCCAGAAGGCTGCAATTGGAGAAGCATGACAAATGGGCAGCACAGTTTTAGAGGGTTCCGGCAGAAAGGCAGATTGCCTGACTGGGAGAGATTCTCCACAGCTGGAGCATCACACACACCATCTGGAATTTTTTAAATCTGCTTTCCCCAGGTGATCTGATTCTCAGAGTGCCAGTAGAGATGAGAAAAGGGGGGAATTGTATAGCTCAAAACAGCTTCAAATGTTCCCCAAATTAGTTAATGAAATCTTGTTTGAATCAGTTTCAGCTTCTCCTCCAAACTGAGCCTCTAGTTTTGTGTTGTCACTTCCATTTCCTCACAAAGACCTGAATGTTTGGAGTCTCACCCCTAAACGTTTCCTGTACCAAGGAGCAAAACAGGATTCCCAGCATGGTAGCCAAAAATGGCACTCAAACTTTTGGATCTGATCCAAATTTCCCAATACCAGCCAACAAAGCTTCATTTTCATATTCACTCCTCTTGACTAGTCTTAGCACTTCGTTTAGGTATTGCCAAATGGAGAGCCTACATACTGAGATCCTCAGCTCTTTCCAAGATGATCCAAACTCTATATTTTAAGCAGTAAAAGAAAATATGATTTTAAAAACTAAGAGCAACCAGTAACTGTCATAATAATGAAAGACTTTGATTTTTCTTTTTTTCACAAACATATATGTGTTTGTGAATTTGAAGGTGGAGTTGGGTGGGGATGTGTGAAAGAGAAAGAAGAATAGAGCTTACTTGGAAATGGGGGCAAGGGAAGAAATAAAAGGTAACAGGAAAGAAATTCTGCCTCAGTCTGCTACCCACCTTTTTGGAGGGGAGATAGTAATTATTTTAGGCTTTGTGAGCCATATGGGCTCTGTTACAACTATTCAACTTTGCTGTTGTAGCATAAAAGCAACCATAGACAATATGTAAATGAATGAGCATGGCTGTGTTCCAATTTATGAATACTGAAATTTGGATTTCATATACTTTTCACATGTCATGAAATATTATCCTTCCTTTGATTTTTTTCAATCATTTAAAAATGTTAAAACCATTCTCAGTTTGCAGACCATACTAAAACAGGAAGCAGGCCAGATTTGGCCCATGGGCCATAGTTTACCAATCCTTGTAACATACCAGTAAAGACCATTATACAAGTTTCAGCTTTAGAATTCCACAATGGTTGCAGTAAGAGTCTTACATGGTATCTTACCCAGAATAGATTTTTTTAAGTGTTCAATTCTACTAAGAAGAACTGTGAATTTTTCGCTCTCAGGATCAGCAGATGTCTGGAAGTCTAAATAAATATATATCTGAAATAAATTTCTTCACTACTTTCAAACTTTCAAAAATTCTCTACTTGCCCATTCTTTTTATACATTTTCTTTCATTCTCATTGGCATAAAGAAAAAGTAGTCTCTTGGTGATCATGGGCATTTTCAAGTATTTACTAGTGTTTATTTTGGTATTAATAAAGGCTAATACAGGTACCAGTACCTTTCTTTTCTCTCTCCTTTTTTAAATAAAAATATTAACATGTCCCCCCAAATAAATCAGCATATCTATCTTAATAGATTTATTTTCTGGGAACGACAAATGCATGTCATTTTCAAAGAGAAAAACAGTTAGGCACAAAAAAATACACAAGAGCAGCACAAAATTTATAACTGTTAAGTGTTTGCAAATATTTTTAACAGTTCTCACTAAAGGGACTACACATAGATAAAGATACCAGGACATAAGCTGATAGAGCTAATAAATATGGTCTTGCTCTTAAAAAATGTACAGTCTAGTTGTAGAAGCATAAAAGACATACAAAAGAGTAATATAATAACTGCAAATACTTCACATAATTCAACATATATGAAAATTTATAACAATATAAAATTCTATATTGACATAATAAAAATAAAAACCTACAGAAATTGTAATTAGAAATATGCCATAAAAAGCAATAATATAATACAACATCTCCCCACACACACACACACACAAATAAACCTATGGATATAAAAGAATAATTATTCAAAAAGAAAAAGAGGACAATCATTTAAAATATAGTAAAATATGGGAAATAAATAACAAAAGACATAAGAAAAGGATAATATGGGCATAAAAGAATGTCCTTGAGGCATATATTTGGGGACATATTTTTATGTGTAATGTCAACTATGTATTAAACAATTTAAGCTTAGAAGAGGTGGAGCAAGATGGCCAAATAGAATCTTTCACTGATTGTCCTCCACACAAGAACACTAAATTTAACAACTATCTACCCAAAAAAACACCTTCATAAAAAACAAAAATAGGCTGGGCGCAGTGGCTCATGCCTGCAATCCCAGCACTTTGGGAGACTGAGGTGGGCAGATCACCTGAAGTCAGGAGGTTGGGACCAGCCTGACCAACATGGAGAAACCCTGTCTCTACTAAAAATACAAAATTAGCCAGGCGTGGTGGTGCATGCCTATAATCCCAGCTACTCAGGAGGCTGAGGCAGGAGAATCACTTGAACCAGGGAAGCAGAGGTTGAGGTAAGCTGAGATTGGGCCATTGCGCTCCAGCCTGGGCAATAAGAGCGAAACTCTGTCTCAAAAAAAAAAAAAAAAAAAAAAAAAAGGTGAGCAATCTAAGTGTCCATCAACAGACTAATGGATAAAGAAAATGTGGTACATACATACAATAGAGTACTATTTAGCCATAAAAAGAATGAGATCCTGTCATTTGCAAAAACACAAATGGAACTGGAGGTCATTAGGTGAAATAAACCAGGAACAGAAAAATGAACTTTGCATGTTCTCACTTACTTGTGCGAACTAAAAATTAAAACAAATGAATTCATGGAGATAGAGAGTAGAATGATGGTTATCAGAGGCTGGGAATGGCAGTTGTTGGGGGTAAGAGAGTCAGGATAGTTAATAAAAATTTAAATTTTTTTTTTATTTAAAAAAGTTTAAGCTCACAGGGTTTAAAATTTTACAGAAAAATGGGTGAGGGAGACAACAATAAAGAATTCAAGGTAATTAATTATATGCTGGCAGGTACACATGATAATTAATCCAGGAATCCAAAGAAGGCTGTGGACTAGGGTGGTGGTTTACAGAGGACCATGGTCCTGCATAGAGCTCTGCAGAAAAGAAATCCAGATGTTGAGAGGAAGAGGTGGTGCATCAGATCTAGGACTCCAACTCTAGTGTCCCATGTCCCAGATGACCCAGTATGCATCCATTGTAACACACCTCCCCTACACCAAGTCCTCAAGTGATGTGTGTTCATTTCTGTTACTCTCTCAAAATTTTCCAAAAGTTGCCTTTCAATATCTGAATTTATAATTTTAGGTTTACTTAGAAGACTAAATGTAGCTGGGGTTTGTTTTCATTTGTTTTTTATCAGTATAGCAGGACAGTTAATACAGTTTCTAGCATAAGACAAATCTATGCTTAAATTCCAGCACTGCCATTATTGATTTTATGGCTTTAAGTAACATTTTACCTGTAAAGTATGTAGTAGATGTCCTGGAATATAATAAAAACTCAATAAATGTTAGCTATTGTTAAAGAACATATTCATCCTCTCCCATATTTTCACCTAAGTTGGGCAATACAGCATAGTAGTTAAGATGGTTAGGAGCACAGACTATGGAGCCCTTGGCTCTGCCAATTACTAGCTGTTTGAGCTTGGGCAAATTACTTACTCTCTGTGTCTCATGTTCCCTATCTGCAAATACATTTGTTGTGAGGATTAAATGAGATATTGTACATAAAGTACTTTTGCTAATAAAAATAAATTCATAAGGTAGGAGTTTCCATCTACTGAGAAGTATTGGGGAGATAATTTTGGTTTTTTCCCCATGGATGGGAATGGGACAGTGACTGCATATGACTATAGTAAGGTCATGGTGGTGGTGAGGAGAGCAGAGAGGGCATAGAGGAGGGAGAAATGGGCATGCAAAGCAACTGCCCCAAGTCTTTTATCAATTTGCTTCCAAAATCGCTATCAAGAGGTTCTGCTTCAACTGGCCAGTAACTCATACTGCTTATGAGTTAGAATCCTAACCAATATTACATCCTAGGGCAGTGTTCTATTTTACAACGAGATTAAACTATGCATAGTGTTCTCTATCTTGATTTCTTTATTTGATAACTCCCTCACACAAGTCTTACCTTGCTTTCTAGATTTCAGATTGGCTAGGAGGTGGATGCCAGTTTCTCCTAGTGTCCCTGCTCCTGTCCAACTCCAGGTGACAGAATGTTTAAGAAGAATTTATATTATTTAATCCATGCTAGGATAGTAAACTGCCCACAACTAGTTCTCAGTTAGACAGAAGAATGAAAGGTACCATTCTTCCAACATTCTTCCAGTCATTCTTCTTATTCACAGACATTTGGTATCCAGTAGCCAAATCTTCCCATTAAATATTTTGAGAGCATTTTAAATAGCTTTTTTTTTCTGTTGCATTTTTCTCTACTTGCCATCTCTCTGTTATCTACTGATACAAGGCCTAAGAGACCAGTATCAGCACCATTACCTTCAATCAGAGCCAAAACCTTATATCTGGAATCAAGGGAACCACTGAGATTTCAGCCAGTAATCTGTCCATAGGCACAGCCAATGATCAGAGCCAGAAATCATGAAGTAAGCTAAGTTAATATCTAAGATGTGAGCCAAGAGCCATAAAACAACATTGGCAGAGGAGAGGTGAGGAAGGGAAATGGGTGTCAAATGTAAGCCAAAGAAGTTACAAACACCTCATATAACCAGAACCACCCAGAGACCATTGCAAAACTAAACTATTAGTCCTGCTTTAGGCACACTCTCCTTAAACACTGTTAACCAATGGCTGGTCCCTGAGAAGCAGTTAGTCTGAAAGAAAACAAGGATAGTACTAAAGCCTTCTTTGTTCTGTGGCTCCCATTCACCTATTTTCTACTTTCCCTTGTCATGGTGTGCATTTCTAGTGTGAGCCTAGATGTGAGCCCTTCCTTCTGGAACAAGTCACTGAAGCCCTATGAACCTCAGTTAGTTCATCTACATGATGATGATAGTAATTCTTACCTTCATAAGTTTGTTTTAGGAGTTATATGAGAATATATGTGAAAATCTTAAAGATTTGACAAAATAAAAATAAATTTTTTGGAAGAAAAGTTAAAAAAGATAAACATAAGACTGAAGAAAATATTTATGACAAGTATTTAACAAAATGTTAGTACCCCAATAATCCAAAAATGCTCCCAAATCAATATGAAAAATACAAACAACACACACACAGAAAAAAAAAACAGCAAGGATATACATAGGCAATTTGCAGAAGAAATGCCAGAGGCTCCATCTCATTAGGTATAAGGAAATTGCAAACAGGAAGATACCACTTTTCAGCTTGGCAAGAATTAAAAAGATCGGTAATACCCATGTTGGCAATGGTGTGGAGAAAAAGGATACTCACATTCACAGTTGAAAAGAGTGTAAACCATTTAGGTGGGCAATTTCCCTGTACTGTTTAAAATGTGAATAACCTTTAGTCTATCAATTCTACTTCTAGTAAATTGTCAATCAGAAATATTATCACAAGTTCATAAAAATACACATAAAAGGATGCAGATTAAAATAACTAAATTAATGGTAAATAAATGCCTATACACAGACATTTTATATTTATGCATTTGTTACATATGTTTATATAAATGTGCTTATATGTGCATAGAAATATAAATATATGTTCATATGTGCATATAAAAAGGTCTGGAAGGCCGGGCGCAGTGGCTTACACCTGTAATCCCAGCACTTTGGGAGATTGAGCCATGTGGATCACCTGAGGTCAGGAGATTGAGATCATCCTGGCCAACACGGTGAAACCCCATCTCTACTAAAAATACAAAAATTATCTGGGCATGGTGGCACGTGCCTGTAATCCCAGCTACTCAGGAAGCTGAGGCAGGAGAATTGCTTGAACCAGGGAGTCGGAGGTTGCAGTGAGCTGAGATCGCGCCACTGCACTCCAGCCTGGTGACAGAGTGAGACTCCGTCTCAAAAAACAAAAACAAAAAATAGAAAAAGGTCCGGAAGTTTATACAGCTGCTAATGATATCTATTCCAGGGAAACAGGGTTAGATAACAAGAGTTGGGGTAGGAGGAACTTGTACTTTATGTATTTTATTTAAATATATAAACTGCCATGTACCTCCTAGCCAATCTGAAATCTAACAAAGAAGTAACATTTGTGTGAGGGAGTAATCATCAAATAAAGAAAGCAAGATACAGAACACTATGCATAGTTTAATCCTCTTATAAAATAAAACACTACCTTATAATGTAATATTGGTTAGGATTCTAACTCATAAGCAGTGTAAGTTACTGGCCAGTTGAAGCAGAAACCTCTTGATAGGGATTTTGGAAGCAAACTAATAAAAGACTTGGCGCAGTTGCTTTCCATGCCCATTTCTCCCTCCTCTATGCCCTCTCTCCTTACCACCACCATGACCTTACTATAGTTATATGCAATCGCTGTCCCATTCTCAATTATGGGGAAAATATTTACTTAAATATATATATATATATATATCTCCCGTAATTTTCCCCAACCAACATGAACTTCCTTCTTAACATTTAAAAGTTTTGCCAATTATTAAAAAAAAGCATAATATTATTCTAAAATACACCTTATCAACCAAAAAAAAAAAATTAAGGTGATACACAGTATGAAGTGTTACTATTTCTTGTCAGAATTTCTTATTTAAAATTATTTGAGTCAAGGAAAATTTTTTAAAAGTTGTTTCAAGCTTCCTATGCTTGACATAAGGAAATGTGGTAATTCTAGATTTAAAATACAGAATTATAACACTGTTTAGAAACAATACAATCAGAAAAAATTCCTGTAAATTTTTTCCTCCTCTACTATTATTCTCATGTTTAAAGCTTATTACAGACATTAATATTATTCCTAGAACATGAAGCTTTCCGTGACCTACTTGTCTTCTAAAATAATTACACCAAACTTAAATTTCCTTCTTTTTATATCTTCCCATTTTCTCAGTTTGTCACATAATTTTAAATTTGAACATATTTCTCTCTGGTACAAGACCACCAGCTCAATTTTGTGATATTCTTTCCATTTTCAGGGAAGACAATATAAACATGTTATGATGTTATCCAAAAATATGAATCATGAAAAACTGTGTTAAGCTCAGAGGCAAATGGAGCAGCAGTATCCAAAACTATTGGGTCAGTGCAGTCTGCCTTTGGTGTGCCCATTTTCCTTCTGCACCCAGTTTGCCTTTGGTGCTGCTTTCCAAGATATCCATCTCCCTCCCAACAAAGCCTACTTTCTGGAAAGGATGTGAAAAACAAATTTACATTGATTAGTAAAAAACAAAACAAAACAAAGGAATATAGCTATAACTGCTAAATTTTAAAAATCAATTATTTTTATTCAACATGAAGCCCCCACATTCCCAGGTATTTGATATGAGTTGAACCAAACTGATGGGCCCTGTCCTCAGAGAACATGGAAAACAGATAAACAGGCATAAAATTACATAAAATTGTAATAATCACTATGATAGAGTTAAGACAGAGTGTTATGAAAGAGGAGGTCTAATGAAGTACAAACACTCAGAGAATTCTAGAAGAAATATCTAAGCCAAGGCTTGAAGAGTGAGTAGGCATTAACCAGACAAAAGTGGGTGGGAGGAAGGAAGTATGAAAAATGATTTATTGATACCTCTGAAATCACATCACCCATTTTATCCAAAATACATGTCTGACCCTGATAAGCAATGATGTTGGGAACAAAATCCAACCCTTCTAACTTCCAGTTTCTTTCATCATTTGGAATACTATTTCCCTCCCTTCTTCACCTCTCTTCAGCTTTAAGGGATCATGGAAAACAACTGAACAAGTAAAATGATAAGTCACAGAAATCCATAAGTACAAGGCAGAAAGTGAATAAGTACAGGCAGGCAGCTGGGAAAATTGTTTTCTAAAACTTTCTCTAGAGGACTAATGTTTGGGACAAAACAGAATTCCCAGAAACAGTGTATATGCCCCTAAAGATTATAGCTTTGGCAGGGCAGTAAATACTCAACCCCAATATCCAAACAGAACAAATATCTGGATAGTCTCTGCCAAACCAAGATTACAAACTGTTACTACATCTTCTGAAGTAAAAATAATCAGCAATAAATTTATCCATTTTCAATTAAGCAATACTTAGAGGGACATTTATAGTTTTAAATGGCTCTATTAGAAAAGGAAAAAGATCTCTCAAATAAGTGACCTAAGTTTCTACCTTAAGAACCTAGAAAAGGAAGAGTAAACTCAACCCGAAGCAAAGAAAAGAGAGGAAAAAAAATAAAGATTAGAGTTGTATTAGTCTGTTCTCATGATGCTAATAAAAACATATCCGAGACTGGGTAACTCCAACTCACAGTACCACATGGCTGGGGTGGCCTCACAATCATGGCAGAAGGCAAATGAGGAGCAAAGTCATGTTTTACATGGTGGCAGGCAAGATAACTTGTTCAGGGGAACTCCCATTTATAAAACCATTAGATCTCGTCAGACTTATTCACTACCATGAGAACAGTATGGGGGAAACTGCCCGCATGATTCCATTATCTCCACCTGGTCCCACCCTTGACACACGGGGATTATCACAATTCAAGGTAAGATTTGGGTGGGGTCACAGCTAAACCATATCATTCTGCCTCTGCCCCCCACTCCCCCGCAAATCTCATGTCCTCACATTTCAAAACCAATCATGCCTTCCCAACAGTCCTCCAAAGTCTTAACTCATTTCAGCATTAACTTAAAAGTCCACAGTCCAAAGTCTCAACTGAGACAAGGTAAGTCCTTTCCACCTATGAGCCTGTAAAATCAAAAGCAAGTTAGTTACTTCCTAGATACAATGAGGGTACAGGCATTGGGTAAATACACTCATTCCAAATGGGAGAAACTGGCCAAAACGAAGGAGCTATAGACCCTATGCAAATCCAAAATCCAATGGGGCAGTCAAATATTAAAGCTCCAAAATGATCTCCTTTGACTCCATGTCTCACATACAGGTCATGCTGATTCGAGAGGTGGGCTCCCACAGCCTTGGGCAGCTCTGTCCTTGTGGCTTTGCATGGTACACCCCACCTCCTGGCTACTTTCACAGGCTGGCGCTGAGTGTCTGTGGCTTTTCCAGGTGCATGGTGCAATCTGTCAGTGGATCTACCATTCTGGGGTCTGGAGGATGGTGGCCCTCTTCTCACAGCTGCCCTATGCAGTGCCCCTCTGGAGACTCTGTGTGGGGGCTCTGACCCCACATTTCCCTTCCATACTGCTCTAGCAGAGGTTCTCCATGACGGTTCCACCCCTGAAGCAAAATTCTGCCTGGACATCCAGGCCTTTCCATACATCCTCTGAAATCTAGGTGGAGGTTCCCAAACCTCAATTCTTGACTTCTCTGCACCTGTGGGCCCAATGTCATGTGGAAGCTGCCAAAGCTTAGGGCTTGTAACCTCTGAAGTAATAGTCTGAGCTGTATGTTGGCTCCTTTTAACCACAGCTGGAGCAGCTAGGACACAGGGCACCAAGTTCCAAGGCTGCACACAGCAAAACATGCCCTGGGCCTAGTCCACAAAACCATTTTTCCCTCCTAGGCCTCTGGGCCTTTGATGGGAGGGGCTGCTGTGAAGGTCTCTGATTTGTCCTGGAGACATTTTCCCCATTGTCTTAGTGAATAACATTTGGCTTCTTGTTAATTATGCAAATTTCTGCAGCAGGCTTGAATTTCTCCTCAGAAAATGGGTTTTTCTTTTCTATTGCATTGTCAGGCTACAAATTTTCCAAACTTTTATGTTCTGCTTCCTCTTGAATACTTTTAGAAATTTCTTTTGCCAGATACCCTAAATCATAACTCTTAAGTTCAAAGTTCCACAGATCTCTAAGGCAGGGGGAAAATGCCACCAGTCTCTTTGCATAGCAAAAGTGACCTTTACTCCAGTTCCCAACAAGTTCCTCATCTCCATCTGAGACCACCTCAGCCTGAACCTTCTTGCCCATATCACTATCAGCATTTTGCTCAAAGCCATTCAACAAGTTTCTAGGAAGTTCCAAACTTGCCCGCATCTTCCTGTCTTCTGAGTACTCTAAACTGTTCCAGTCTCTGCCTGTTACCCAGTTCCAAAGTCACTTCCACATTTTCAGGTATTTTTACAGCAGCGCCCCACTACTCGGTACCAATTTACTGTCTAAGTCTGTTCTCATGTTGCTAATAAAGACATATGGTAATTTGCAAAGGAAGGAGGTTTAATTGACACAGTTCCACGTGGCTGGGGAGACTCACAATCATGGCAGAAGGCAAATGAGGAGCAAAGTCACATCTTACATGGCAGCAGGTAAGAGAGCTTGTACGGGAGAAGTTCCATTTATAAAGCCATCAGATCTTGTGAGACTTATTCACTACCATGAGAACAGTGTGGAAGAAACTGCCCCCATGATTCAATTATCTCCACCTGGCCCCACATGTGGATTATTACAATTCAAGGTCAGATTTGTGTAGGGATACAGCTGAACCATATCGAGAGTGCAAATCAATTAAATGGACAATAGAAAAGCAACAGAAAAACAAAACATTAAAAGCTTCTCTAAAATGTTCAAAAAATTGTCAAACTTTTAACAAGATCCACTATGAAAAGAAAGAGAGGAAAGATCATCAAAATCATGAATGAAAGAGGGCACATCACCACTGATCCTACAGAAATTTTTTAAAATGTAAATGAGTATTATGAACAAATTTATGCCAATAAATTAGACAACTTGGGTGAAATGAACAAATTCCTAGAAAGAAAAATTACCAAAACAGGCTCAAGGAAACAGAAAAATTGAACAGACCTATAATGAGTAAAGATTAAATTAGTAATTAAAAATCTTCACTCAAAGAAAAGCCAAGTCCCAGCTGTCTTTACTGGTGAATTCTATTAAACATTTAGGAAGAAATAATGCCAATCCTTCACAAACTCTTCCAGTAACTGAAGATGCAGGGAATACTTCCCAACTCATTCTATAAGTTCAGTACTTCCCTGCGAGTACTTCTAAACCCAGTTGAAACAAAACCCAGAAGAGTAGAACTCAGCTGGTTCTCATAAGTCTGAGTTTCTTAAGGCTATCTGGGAAGCTAGAAATTTTGTCCAACTACAGGTTAAGAAAGCTCTAGAACCAACCTGAATCTCAGAAGTCCTTGAAATATTTAAGGCCATTATCATGGGGAAATTGAGAATAGCTACCTTCAAAGTCCATAAGGTAACATAGTAGGACGTTTTGGCTTGCAGTGCAATGCTGGAATCAAATCATGAGAGCTAGACCTCGCAGTTCTTAAATTACTGTATAGATTTTGGATGTGCTTATTTGTTTAGGTCATATCTCATATTTCAGGTTATTACATCTATGGAAAAGAAGTGATTTTCCAATTTAAATAAAATATTAAAGAATATAATACAAAAATACTTTTTCTTCCCTCTCTCCTTCCCTCTTATGTATTTACATTTGTTACACGCTCACTACAGTTAGAGCTATACAGTACTAATACTCAATCTTCTTCACAGTTGTGAGTGATGTTACGAAAAGTATTTAGCTAAAAATCAGCATAAAATTGCAATGATAATAGTCACATCTAGTATTTACTTAGTACTCAGTGTTTTCATGTATCATCTCATCTAATGCTCACATTGTTCGTGTTTGTTCTTATCTAAAGAGGGTTACACAGACAACCACTGTAAGAGTAGCAGCTTCTCATATGGTAACATGAAAAAAAACTATACTTACTTGAACAAATAAAATTGGGATAATTTGTCCATAACAAGGAGAGGGAAAGTGGGATATGGGCAGTGAAACAAAAAGAGTCTGCGTATCTAGGCATTGAGGAAATTTGAGGAAAGAGTAAAGCAAGGTTTTTCAGCACTGTTGTCCAGAGCAATTTAGAGAGAGGTGTCTAAAAGCTTTTTAAAAAGGTTTTCTGTGCATTAAGAATGTAATAACACCAAAAGCATTATCCACAAAAGAAAAAAACTGATAAACTAGACTTCATCGAAATTAAGAACTGCTGCTGCTTGAAGGACATTCACAGAATGAAAAGACAAGCCACACTAGGAGAAATTATTTGCAAATCACATATCTGACAAATGACTTGGATCTACAATATGAAGAACTCTCAAAACTCAATAATTAGTAAACAACCAAATTTTTTAAATGGACAATATATTTGAACATACACTTCTGCAAAGAAGATATACTGATGGCAAATAAAACATGATATGATGCTCAACACTGTTATTCATTAGTAAAATGCAAATTAAAACTGCAGTGAGATACTACTACCTATGATCTAAAAAGGGTAAAAATTAAAATACTTGTAAAATACTTTGACTATTGAGATAAAAGATAATTCTTTTTTATTGTAGTAAGAACATTTAGCATGGCATCTACCATTTTAAAAAATCAAGTATATAATTCAGTATTGTTAACTACAGGTACAATGTTGTACAGCAGATGCCTAGAACTTATTCATCTTGTATAACTGAAATTTTATACCCATTGGATAGCAGATCCCCATTTACCACCCCAGGCCCCCAGCCTTTGGCAGCCACAATTCTATTTTCTGATTCCATTGGTTTGGCTATTTTAGATAATTTGTACATGTGGAATAATACAGTATTCGTCTTTCTGTGACTGGTTTATTTGACTTAGCATAATGTCCTCCAGTTTCATCCATGTTGCTGCATATTTCAAGATTTCCTTATTTTGTAAGGCTAAATAATATTTCGTTGTACATGTTTACTACATATTCTTTGTCCATTCATCTACCCATCAATGGACATTTAGAGTGTTTCCACATCTGTTGTTGTGAATAATGCTGCAACAAACGTGGGAGTGAAAATATCTCTTCAATATCCTGTTCTCAATTATTTTGTATAGGTATGCAGAAGTGGGATTGCTAGATAATATGGTATTTCTATTTTTAATTCTTTTTTTTTTTTTTTTTGAGATGGAGTCTCACTCTTGTCACCCAGGCTGAAGTGCAGAGGCATGATCTCGGCTCACTGCAACCTCTGCCTCCCAGGTTCAAGCGATTCTCCTGACTCAGCCTCCTGAGTATCTGGGATTACAGGCACCCACCACCACGCCCAGCTAATTTTTGTACTTTTAGTAGAGATGGGGTTTCGCCATGTTGGCCAGGCTGTTCTCAAACTCCTGACCTCAGGTGATCCACCCACCTCAGCCTCCCAAACTGCTGGGATTATAGGCATAAGCCGCCGTGCCTGGCCTATTTTTAATTTTTTGAGGAAATGTCATATCTTTCATAGTGACTGCAACTATTTCACATTCCCACCAGCTGAGTACAAGGGTTCCAATTTCTACACATTCTCGCCAGAATTTGTTAATCTTTTGTTTGTTTTATAATGGCCATCCTAACAGATATGAAGTGATTTCTATCTCATTGTAGTTTGACATGCATTTCCCTTATAAGTAATGTTTTTAAGCATCTTTACACTTTGTTGTCTGTGCTTTTGGTGTCATATCCAAGAAACCATCGCTAATGCCAATGACATGAAGGTTTCCTCCTATGTTTTATCCTAGTGGTTATGCAGTTTTAAATCTTATGTTTAAATCTTTAATCTACTTTGCATTAATTTTTGTCCACGTGTAAGAAAAGGGTCCAATTTCATTGTTTTGCATGTGAATATCCAGTTTTCCCAACACTATTTATTGAAGAGACTATCTTTCCCTCATTGCCTATTCTTGGCACAGTTGTTGAAGATAGGTTGACTGTAAATGGGTCAACTGGGTTTATTTCTGAGCTCTCAATTCTGTTCCATTGGTATATGTCTGTCTGTATGCCAGTACCATACTGATTTAATTCCAGTAGCTTTGTAATAATATATTTTGAATTCAGGAAGTGGATTGCCTCTAACTTTGTTTGTTTTTTTTTTTTTAATTGTTTTGGTTATTTAGGGTCCTTTGTGGTTACATATGGATTTAAGAATTGTTTTGTCTATTTCTGTAAATAAAAAATTCCACTGAGATTTTGATAGAGATAGAATTGAATGTAGAGACTGCATTGGGTAGTATGGACATTTTAATAACATGAAGTCTTCCAAAAATCTACGCAATACCATTCAGGACATACACGCCAGCAAAGATTTCATGACAAAATCACCAAAAACAATTTGCAACTAAAGCAAAAATTGACAAATCGGATCTAATTAAACTAAAGAGCTTTTGCACAGCAAAAGAAACTATCATCAGAGCAAACAGGCAACCTACAGAATGGGAGAAAAATTTTCCAATCTATCTATCTGACAAAGGTCTAATATCTAGAATCAACAAGAAACTTAAACAAATTTACATGAAAAAGAACAACCAACCCCATTAAAAAGTGGGCAAGAGACATGAACAGACACTTCTCAAAAGAAGACATTCATGCAGCTGACAAACATATGAAAAAAAGCTCAACATCACTGATCATTAGAGAAATGCAAATCAAAACCATAATGAGATACCATCTCATGCCAGTCAGAATGGCAATTATAAAAAAGTCAGCCGGGCATGGCGGCTCATGCCTATAATCCCAGCACTTTGGGAGGCCAAGGCGGGTGGATAACAGGGTCAAGAGATAGAGATCATCCTGGCCAACATGGTGAAACCCTGTCTCTACTAAAAATACAAAATAAAAATTAGCTGGGCGTGGTGGTGCACGCCTATAGTCCTAGCTACTTGTGAGGCAGAGGCAGGAGAATTGCTTGAACCTGGGAGGTGGAGGTTGCAGTGAGCTGAGATTGCGCCACTGCACTCCAGCCTGGTGACAGAGCCAGGCTCCGTCTCAAAAAAAAAAAAAAAAAAAAAAAAAAAAAAAAAAAAGACAAGAAACAACAGATGCTGGAGAGGTTGCAGAGGAACAGGAATGCTTTTACACTGTTGGTGGGAATGTAAATTAGTTCAACCATTGTTGAAGACGATGTGGCAATTCCTCAAAGATCTAGAACCAGAAATACCATTTGCCCCAGCAGTCCCATTACTGGGTATATACCCAAAGGAATATTAATCATTCTATTACAAAGATGAAGGCACGTGTATGTTCATTGCAGCACTATTCACAATAGTAAAGACATGGAACCATTCAAAATGCCCATCAATGATAGACTGGACAAAGAAAATGTGGTAGAGATACACAATGGAATACTATGCAGCCATAAAAAGGAACAAGATCATGTCCTTTGCAGGGACATGGATGGAGCTGGAAGCCATTATCCTCAGCAAACTAACACAGGAACAGAAAACCAAGCACCACATGTTCTCACTTACAGGTGGGAGTTGAACAATGAGAACACATGGACACAGGGAGGAGAACAACATACACTGGGGCCTGTTGGGGGTGGGGTGGGGGAAGAAGAGCATTAGGCAACATAGCTAATGCATGCTGGGCTTAATACATAGGTGATGGGTTGATAGGTGCGGCAAACCACCATCGCACACGTTTACCTATATAACAAACCTGCACAATCTGCACATGAACCCTGGAACTTAAAATACAAAATAAGGTTAAAAAAATAATAATAATATTCAGTCTTCCAATCTATAAACACGAGCTGTCTCTCCATGTATGTGTGTCAAATTTGTGCAATCAATGTTTTGTCATTTTCTGTGTACAAGTTTTTCACCTCCTTAGTCAAGTTTATTACTATGTATTTTATTCTTTTTGATGCTATCATAAGTAGGATTGTTTTCTTAATACCTTTTTGGATAGTTCATTGTTAGTGTATGGAAACAAAAGTGACTTTTATATGTTGATTTTGAATCCTAAAACTTTACTCAATCCATTTATTAGTTCCAAAAGTTTTTTTTTTTTTTTTTTGGTGGAATCCTTCTAATTTTCTACATGTAAGATAATGTCATCTGCCAACAGAAATAATTTTTACTTCTTCCTTTCTGATTTGGTTGACTTTTCTTTTTCTTGCCTATTTGCTCTGGCTAGGACTTCCAGTATAATTTTGAACAGAAGCGATGTGAGTTGGCATTATGCCTTGTTCCCAATCCTACAGGGAAAATTTTCAGTTTTTCACCATTAAATATAATGTTAAATGTGGGCTTTTCATATATGGCCATTATGTTGAGGTAATGTCCTTCTTTTCCCAGTTAATATATTGAGTTTTTATCATAAAAGCGTGTTGAATTTTGTCAAATTTTTTTTCTGCATCTATTGAGATAATTATGAGATTTTTATTCTTCATTCTGTTTATGGGGTATATTGCATTAACTGACTTTTGTAAGCTGAATCATCCTTGCATCTCAGGGAAAAATCCCATCTAATCATGGTGTATTTTCCTATTAATGTGCTCTTTCATTCAGTTTGCTAGTATTTTGTTAAGGATTTTTGCATCTATGTTTATCTGGGATATTGGCCAGTAGTTTTCTTTTCTTGTAGTGTCTTTGTATAGCTCTGGTATCAGGGTAATGCTAGCCTCATAAATGGACTTGGAAGTGTTCCCTCCTCTTCAATGTTTTTGGACGAGTTTGAGAAGGATCAGTATTAGTTCTTCTTTAAATGTTTGGTAGAATTCATCAGTGAAGCTACCTAGCACTAGGCTTTTTGTTGGGAGGTTTTTGATTACTGATTCAATCTCTTTACTCATTATTGGCCCGTCCAGATTTTCTAATCCTTCATGAGTGAGTCTTGGTAGACTGATATATCTAAGAATATGCCCATTTCTTCTAGGTTTTTCAATTTGTTGGCATGTAATTGTTCATAGTAGTCTCTTATGATTCTTTGTATTTCTGTGGTATCAATTGTAATGTCTCCTCTATCATTTATAATTTTATTTATTTGAACCCTCTCCCCTTTCTTGGTTAATCTTGCTAAAGATTTGTTGATTTTGTTGCTCTTTTTAAACAAACCCACTATTAGTTTTGTTGGTCTCTTCTATTCTCTATTACATTTACTTCTGCTCTAATCTTTATTTCTTCCCTTTCTACCTTTGGGCTTAGTTTGTTCTTTTTCTAATTCTTTGAGGTATAAAGTTAGGTTACTTGAGATCTCTTTCTTTTTTAATACAGACATTTATCACTATCAACTTTTCTCTTAGGATCACTTTTGCTGCATCTTATAGGTTTGGTATGTTGTGTTTTCATTTTCATTTCTCTCAAGATATTTTCTAATTTCCCTTATGATTTCTTCTTTGATCCATTAGCTCTTCAGGGGTATGCTGTTTAATTTCACATGTTTGTGAATTTTCCAGTTTCCCATCTACTGTTTATTTCTAATTTCCATTCCACTGTGATCAGAAAAGATACTTGGTATGATTTTAACATTCCTAAATTTGCTAAGACTTGATTTGTGGCTAAACATATTATCTAGCCTGGAGAATGTTTGGTACCTTTGAGAAAAATATATATTCCTCTGTTGTTGGGTTAAATAATTGATATATGTGTGTTACGTCCATTTGGTCTATAGTGTTTTTCAAGTCAGCTGTTTCCTTATTGATTTCTATCTGGATGTTCTATTGATTATTGAAAGTGGGATACTGAAGTGTCCCACTATTATAGGATTGTCATCCACTTCTCTCTTCAATTCTGTCGATGTTTGTTTTAAATATTTAAGTGCTCTCATGTTGGGTGCATATATATTTATAATTCTTATATCTTCTTGGTGAATTTACTCTTTTATTATTATATAACATCTTTTGTCTCTTGTAACAGTTTATGACTAACAGTCTATTTTGTCTTATATAGCCACTCTGCTCTCTTTTGGTTACCATTTACATGGAATATATTTTTCTATCCCTTCACTTTTAGCCTATGTATGTGTTTCAATTTAAAATGAGTTTCTTATAGACAATACATATAGTTGGATCTTGTTTTTTAATTCATTCAGCCACACTATACCTTCTGACTGAGTAGTTCAAACCACTTACATGTAATGTAACCACTGATAGGAAAGGACCATTTTTTTCATAGGTTTTTCTCATTGTTTTTTCAATTTTTTCATTGCTTTCTGTTTGTCTTGTAATTCTTTTGTCCCTCTTCTCCTCTCTTGCTGTCTTCCCTTGTTTTTCATTGATTTTTTTTTGTATTGATATACTTTGGTTCTTTTTTTCTTTTGTGTATCTTCTATAGGTGTTTTCTTTGTGAATGCCATGGAGCTTACATAAAATATCTTATAGTTACAATAATCTGTTTTAAGCTGATAATGTAACTTTGATTGCAGAAAAACCTGTACACTTTTACTTCTCCCTTTACATCTTTTTATTTTGTGTATCAATTCACACATTTTTATATTTATAGTTATTTTTCATATTTTCTTTTTGATACATAGTTTTGCTTTCTCACCCAGGCTGGAGAGCAGTGGTGTGATCTCAGCTCACTACAACTTCTGCCTTCTGTGCTCAAGCAATTCTGGTTCCTCAGCCTCCCCAGTAGCTGGGACCACAGGCATGAGCCACCACACCTGGCTAACTTTTATATTTTTAGTGGAGACGGGCTTTTGTCACATTGGTCAGGCTGGTCTTGAATTCCTGGTCTCAGGTGATCTGTCTGCCTCGGCTTCCCAAAGTACTGGGATTACAGGTGTGAGCCTCCATGCCTGACTCTATTTTTCATACTTTTGTCTTTTAGCTTTTACACTAGAGTTAAAAGTGACTTACCTACCACCATTACAATATTGCATTATTCTGTATTTATCTATATATTTACCTTTACTAGCAAATTTTACATTTTCCTATGCTTTTGTATTACTGTTAGGTGTCCTTTTGTTTTCACTTAAAGAACTCCCTTTAATAAGTCTTTTAAGGCAGGTCTGGGTCGCAAAGAACTCTCTCAGCTTTTGTTTACCTGAGAAAGTCTTTATCTCCATCATTATTGAAGGACAATTTTGCCAGGTATACGATTCTTGGTTGGCCTTTTTGTTTCCTTCAGCACTTTGAATATATCATCCCTTTTCCTTCTGGCCTGCAGGGTTTCTGCTGAGAAATACACTGTAGTCTTATGAGGGTTTTCTTGTATATGACAAATTGTTCTTCTCTTACTGCTTTCAAAAGGTTCTCTTTCTCTTTGATTTTTGACAATTTGACTACATTGTGTCTTGGTGTGGATGTCTTTGGATTCATTTTATTTGAGGTCTGTTAGGGCTCCTGGATCTGGATGTCAAGTTTCTTTACCAGATTTGAAAAGTTTTCAGCCATTACTTCTTTGAATAAGCTTTCTTCCCCCTTTCTCCACCTCTTCTCCATCAGGAACATTCATAATATGTCTCTTGGTCTGCTTTCATGGAGTTCCATAAGTCTCTTAAGCTTTCTTCATTCTTTTTCACTTGTTTTTCTTTTTGTTCATCTGACTGAATAATTTCTGGTAATTTGTCTTCGAGTTTACTGATCCTTTCTTCTGATTGATCTAGTCTGCTATTCAACCTCCCATTGAATTTTTTAGTTCAATTATTCTATTCTTCAGTTTCAAGATTTGTTTGGGGCTGTGTGTGAGTGTATGTGTGTGTATGTGTATATGTGTGTGTATCGACTTCATATATATACACACATCCATTTCATATTTAGATCCATTAAATATATACAGGTGTATAAATATCCATATATATCCATTTCAGATATATGTGTATGTGTGTATATATATGTGTGTGTGTGTGTGTACTACACACACACAAATTTATCTATGTTGAAATTTTCACTTTGTTAATACATTGTTCTCCTGATTTCATTGATCATGATATGGTTTGGATGTTTGTCACCTCCAAATCTCATGTTGAAATGAAATCCCCACTGTTGGAGGTGGGGCCTGGTAGTAGGTGTTTGAGTCATGGAGGTGGATCCCTCACGAGTGGCTTCATGCCCTACTCACAGTAATGAGTGAATTCTTGCTCTCAGTTCACACAAGATCTGGTTATGTAAAAGAGTGTGACACTTCTCCCTCTCTCTGTCTTGCTCCCGTTCCATGTGATATGGGCCTGCTCCCCTATCACCTTCCACCATGAATGGAAAATTCCTGAGGCTCTCACCAGAAGCAGATACTAACACCATGCTTCCTGTACAGCCCACAAAACCATGAGCCAAAATAAAACATCTTTTCTTTATAAATTACCCAGTCAGCTATTCCTTTATGGTAACACAAATAGACCAACACAATCATCATTATGATTATTTTGAATTATCTGTCAGAGAATTCAGGTAAGTCATATACAGTCATCCCTGGATTTTCCATCAGGAGTTGATTCCAGGACCTTCCACAGATACCAAAATCCATGGATGCTCAAGTCTCTAATATAATATGGGATGGTATTTGCATATAATCTATGCATATTCTCCCATGTACTTTAAATCATCTCTAGATTACTTATAATACCTATACAATGTAAATGCTATGTAGACAGTTGTTATATTATTTAGGGAATAATAACCCCAAAAAAGTCTGCATATGTTCAATACAGATGCATTTTTTTTTACTTTAAACATGCATATATTGCATGATGCTGAGCCTTGGGATATAAATTTTTAAAAAATATTTTTGATCTGTCATTGGTTGAATCCATGGATGCAGGACCCACAGATATGGAGGGCCAACACTGTATCTCCAATTCATTACAGTTGTTTTCAGGAAATTTACTTTATTCCTTTGTGTGGGACATATATCCTTGTTTTTTTATTTTCCTTGATTATTTGTGATGGTATCTGTGCATTAGAGAACAGTTACCTTTCACAGACTGGCCTTGTATAGGTAAAGGCCCTCTTCAATCAGCCTAGCTAGAAATTCTGGGGACTTTTCAAACCTGTGTCCTGGTTCAACCTGCTTTCTTTGCTCTTAGCCACCCTTAGGCATCAAGATTATGCTGGGTCCAGTCAGCATTCCAAGATAAACGAGACTGAATCCAGTCTCTTAGGCAGCCTCTGGAAAAGTTGGATCTTTGGATGTTCTATCCAACTCGTTTCCTCCCCAAGAAAAATCTGGGATGCAGGATTTTTTGCCCATTTGTTCCGTATTGAGTCATGGAAAGCGGCTATGAGAGTGTGCTAGTTCAAACCACAGTCTTTGTCTGCACTGGTCCCCAGGCAGCAAAGTATGCTGGGTCCCTTAGTTCCCCACAAGAGGCAAGAAAGAAATCATTCTTTGGCAGCCCACAGAGAAGTTGGGGCATTGGATGTGTGATCCAGCTCTTTCCCTCCCCAGAGGGAAGCTGGGAACTAGGGTATATTCATCTGCTTGCTCTGTGTAGAGCCAGGGGAAGGAGCTATGACAACCGCCAAACCTCCACCTCGGTTCTCACTGGCCCCAAGTGGCTAGAGTATGCCAGGTCCCATCAGCACTCTGAGCAGGCAAGACAGATGGTAGTCCTTTGGGCAGTCCACAAGCAAGTTGGGGTATTGGACACATGGTCAAACTCTATCTCATCCAAGGGAGAAGCCGGGATCTGGAGTTATTCACCTATTCACTCTGTGCTGAGCTGGGATTGGGGGTTATGGTAAACGCCAGCCTAAACCACCACGTCTGATCTCACTGGTTCCAAGGCTGCTATAATATGCCAGGACCTGTCAGCATCCCATAACAGGCAAAACAGGATCTAGTCTTTAGTGCACCTCCAGAGAAGTTGAGGCATTGGATGTGTGGTCCAACTCATTTTCTCACCAGGAAAAGTTTGGGAGCTGGGTTTATTCATCCATTCACTTTGTGCTGAGTTGGGGGCATGGGCTATAGTGACACTCAGTCCAAACTGGTGCCCAAGCAGCTAAAGTATGCCAGGTCCTGTCAGCACTCCAAGACACTCAAGACATATAGCAGTCTTCTCAGAAGTCCCCAAAAAAGTTGGAGTATTAGATACGTGGTCCAACTCTTTCCATTCCCAAGGAGAAGCTGAGAATTAGGAGGTTTCTTTCTGATTGTATGGTACTGTGCCAGGGTAGCAATTCTTGTGAAAGGGTATCCTGAATTTCAATACCAGTTTTAATGTGGCTGGTTTCACACTCACCCAGGATATAAAAGCCTCTCAATTAGTTTTTGGATGTCTCAAAAAAGAAACTTGTCCATGTTTTGCTGTTAAACAGATGTGTTTGTGCAGGAAAGGAGAGTCTAGAGCTTCCTATCCTTCATCCTTGCTCAATAATGTCTTATTTAAAAAAATTCTGTTTGAGTTTTAAGTTGTTGGCCTAATATTCCTTGTGGACACTACTTTAATGAGCCTAGTTTGAATTATCTTAGCCAAAAAAAACCAATAATAGCAACAAAAAGTGCTCTCATTGCTTCTTAACTATCTAGTAAACAATATAAACAAGGCTATGGCATGTGGGGGAAATGGCTTTGGAGTCAAATACCATGGTACATTTCCTTCTTAAAGCCATAGGTCTTATCAGGGTGAGGGCATCTCTGGCATTGACACTGGAATGCCTCGAACCTTGTAGTCTTAGGTATGTGAGAAAATAATACTTAGAATTTATCACATTGTTTTACTTGGCATTACCCTGACACTGCTCCTTTTGTAAATCTTAGGGATGCCAAGTCTACATGTTTCTGATTTAGTTCCACTTAGCAAATCAAAGTGCTGTTTTACAAGTGCTCTTTGAGATTTAAGACAATACTCAAATGGTATCCTTTGAAATAAGAAGACTGAGTCAGAAGCCATCATTCAAGTGGCAGATGGGTTAAAGATGCTTTATATAAATCAGCTCTATCAGTTTCCACTAAAGCCAATGCTCTTGCCAAATGCATTCTCTTAGCATATACAATGAGGTTTTTTTTCACTTTTATAGGCCAAAATTCCTCTTACAGACACATGTTGGTTCAGTTTATTTGGAATAAGTACCTATCTCTTATATAATGCTGACTGTAGAATATTTGAAGCTATGTTTCTTGAATTCTAAAATTTTAAATTTTGTATTTTTAGTAGAGACGGGGTTTCACCATGTTGGCCAGGCTGGTTTCAAACTCCTGACCTCGTGATCCACCCACCTCGGCCTCCCAAAGTGCTGGGATTACAGGGGTGAACCACCACACCCGGCCTCAGGCCTTCCTTATTCATGAGTAAACCAAAAGTAGAGAATGTTGGTAGAGTGTGCAAACATCCGAAGGTAAAGTAAAAAACTGTTAAATTTGCACAGCATTTCCATTGTTCTGGTAAGAAAGAAATACATATGCATGTATGAACTATAAAATCCTGTGGTTCCACATATAAGTTAAATGCTCTTTTGTTTGTATTTAAAACTTGCATTGCACAATATAAAGATGGATAGTAGTCCATCTTCTCCCATGTAATGTTTCAATCACTTTACAAGATTGCCATTTATCATTTAGCCTATATGCTGAATTGAGAACTCACAAACTCTCTAAGTCTCAGGTGCCTCATCTGCAAAACAGGAATAATGATATTTTATAGGATGTGCTAAAGATTAAAAATAATGTCTTTAAAGCCCTTAGCAGAGTATCTGGATATACTCGGCACTCACTAGTAGCTCAAGAAGCTACTAGAGTGCTATTCTACTACTACTAAAGATGATGATGATGATGATGATGATGATGATGATGATGATGAGATAATATAATTTCTTTTTATTTTTTTTTTTAAAGACGGAATCTCGCTCTGTCACCCAGGCTGGAGTGCAGTGGCGTGATCTCGGCTCACTGCAACCTCCGCCTCCCGGGTTCACGCCATTCTCCTGCCTCAGCCTCCTGAGTAGCTGGGACTACAGGCCCCCGCCACCATGCCTGGCTAATTTTTTGTATTTTTAGTAGAGACAGGGTATCACTGTGTTAGCCAGGAAGGTCTCAATCTCCTGACCACGTGATCCGCCCGCCTGGGCCTCCCAAAGTGCTGGAATTACAGGCGTGAGCCACCCCGCCCAGCCGATGATGATACAATTTCTTAAAGCTACCAATTCATTTTCAGACAGCTTTATTGCAAAACCCTTCTACACAGTGAACTAAAATGTGTTTCCTTTTAAATTGTACCACGGTTAATCCTTCTTTCAAAGCTCTTCAGATGACTAAAAGCAATGACATAATCTGTCATTTACAGTCTATAAAAGCTGCTGCACACGAATTTATAAAGGGGCAGAGATGGCAAAGAAAGGGTAGGGGCCTGCTACATGTGGTCACCGCGTCAATGAGAAGAAAACTTCACCCTAACCCTAAATCTAAACCGATCAGAAAAAACAAAATTCTAAAATACACATATACTAGAAAGTTGAAGCACTTGCTGTACAATCAGCTGGAAAGTTCCCAAAAGACCTCAAAGATAATTACAATGGAATAATGCATGAGCACAATAGCAAACTGAGACATGGAGTGAAAAAGTTGCTGCACAGACTCTTTCATATCTTTGTTAAGGCTGAGCACCCCAGTTAAGCTTCTGAACGTTGGACAATCTGTCTGTTGCTACTGCTTTCTTAGAAGTTCATGG